>NC_000001.11:205760344-205911859 GCF_000001405.40 Homo sapiens | reverse complement strand
CCTGTGAGAAGCATCTGCAAACTGTCCTAGAGAAACATTTAACCATCACACCCATAGTCCATTGATCAAGGATGGCCCTATGGGTATTAACTCTTCAACAAATGTAGGATGCATGGATATGCGTGCAGAGCAGTTCCCAAGGTGACCCATGCTAGGGCATCAATGACGCACCTGCAAGAAGGAAGAGGTATGGCATGGCTCCTGGGAGGGGCTGGCAGATAAGACCACCCAGAACCATTATTCCAACAGAGGCTTAGTAGGAGGGTTTTGAGTGGCACATAAGTAGCATCTGAATTGGGTACATTTCTTTAGCCTTTCATCTTCCAAACCCACTGTAACCTATGTAGTTGTCTAACTACAACATGGCATTAGTCGTATATTGAGGTAGTATAGAAGCATTTGTAAGACAGCCATCTCACCATTCTAGACTGGAATGGGGTAATTTTAAGACTGTGAATCCCTGAACATGCCCAAGAAGAGGTAAGCTAACCACCTGCCAGGGATGTTGTCAGAGGAGCTCCTGCTCTAGATGGTAGATCAAACAGGATGACACTAAGACCTTCTGTCTCTAAATTGCATAACATGAAAGCAGATTCTTTAGAATTATGCGAGTTACTTCTTACTTCCAGAGCTGGAAGTAAACACTTTTCCTTCAACAAAGATTTTTGTTTAAATAAGAGGTTTTTTTAAACAAACTTTTTACTTGGAAATAATTTCAAACGAATAAAAAGTTGCAAAACTAAAAGTATCACAGGAGGCTGGATGCAGTGACTCACACCTGTAATACCAGCACTTTGGGAGACCAAGGCAGGAAGATCATTTGAGGCCAGGAGTTTGAGACTAGCCTGAGCAACAAAAGGAGATCCCCACCCTTACCCCCCATTTCTACAAAGACAATTTAAAATTTTTAAAAATTAGCTGTGCACGATGGCACATGCCTATAGTCCTAGCTACCAGGAAGGCTGAGACAAGAGGATCACTTGAGTCCAGGGATTTGAGATTACAATGAGCTATGATCGCATCGCTGCACTCCAGCCTGGGCAACAGAGCAAGACCCTGTTTTCAAAAAGAAAAAAAAAATCACATAATAAACACTGTATGCTCTTTAATCTGGTTCACTTATGGTTAACATTTTACCCCATTTGCTTTATCATTTACTCTTTCATTGTCTCTCTTTTCTTTTTCTTTTTTTAGACAGTCTCACTCTTGTCGCCCAGGCTGGAGTGCAATGGTGTGACCTCAGCTCACTGCAACCTCTGCCTCCTGGGTTCAAGCGATTCTCCCTGCCTCAGCCTCCTGAATAGCTGGGATTACAGGCACCTGCCACCAGGCCTGGCTAATTTTTTTGTATTTTTAGTAGAGACAGGGCTTCACCATGTTGGCCAGGCTGGTCTCGAACTCCTGACCTCTGGTGATCTGCCCGCCTCGGCCTCCTAAAGTGCTGGGATTACAGGCATGAGCCACCACCACTGGCTTATGTCTCTTTTCTTTCTCTCTGTGGACATGCATAACTTTTTTCTGAGGCATTTGAGGATGAAGTCCTTTAACTTTAAATACTTCAGTGTGTATTTCCTGAGAGATAGTGTCTTACATAATCACAGTACAGTTATCAACTTAATGCATTTACATTGATCCAATACTTTTATCTAATCTACCATTCATATACCAATTTTGTCAGTTTATCTAATGAAGCATTTTTTCCTCTCCAGCACAGGATTTAATCTAAAGTCAGGTATTGAATTTATTTTCTTTTTTTCATTTATTTATTGAGACGGGGTCTCACTCCATCGCCCAGGCTGGAGCGCAGTGGAGCTATCACAGCTCAATGTAGCCTCAACCTCTGGGGCCAGGTGATCCTCCCACCTCACCCTCCCAGGTAGCTTGGACCATAGGTGCACACCACTACTCCTGGCTAATTTTTGGTATTTTTTGTAGAGATAGGATTTCTCCATGTTCCCCAAGCTGGTCTCAAACTCCTCAGCTCAAGCAATCCTCTTGCCTCGGCCTCCCAAAGTGCTGGGATTACAGGCATGAGCCACCATGCCCGGCCAGGTACTGAATTTAGTTGCATGTGTTTTAGTGTCCTGTTATCTGGAACGTGTCTACAACTCGTCTTTGTCTTTTACAGCATTGACATTTTTCTAAGATTGTGGTTCACCCACCCTTTCTTTGTATTCCTCATTTTGCATTTGTCTGATATTTCCTTATGATTATACTGAGGTTTTGCATTTTCTCCCAGAATACTCCATAGGAAATGCTCTGTCTTTTTCTGCCTAACACATCTGGAAGCACATAATGGCCACCAGTCTCTCATAGGTGAAATTAATTTTGATTACTCAGTTGGGGGTATTGCCTGATTTCTCCACTATATGATTACTGGGGTTGTTTTTTTTTTCTCCCTTGCAACTTATAGTTTGTGAGGACACACTTTAAGACCATGCAAATATTCTGCTGCTCATTAAAATTTCCCCTAGGTTAAGTATCCATTGACAATTCTTGTCTGATCCTATCAATACTACGATGATTGCAAAATGATGATTCTCCAATCCCAGCACACCCTCTACATTTACTAGTCCTAATAGGCATCCTACTATAACTAAGAACACTCGCTTCTCACCTTTTTCTACAATTTCCTCAAAATTGTATATGTATGTTTGTGTGCCTGTTTATGTGCACATGTATATGTATGAATATGTATATATGTGTGTATGTACATTTGTATGTACGGGTATGTAGCCCTGGGCCACATAACAATGTTTCAGTCAATGACAATCGCATATACAATGGGATCCCATAAGGTTATAGTTCTGTATTTTTATTGTACTTTTTGCTGTGTTTAGATACACAAATACTTAGCATTGTATTATAGTATGCAGTACAGTAACATGCTGTACAGGCTTCTAGCCTTGGAGCAATAGGCTATACCATGTAGTCAAGGTGTATAGTAGGCTATACCATGTAGTCAAGGTGTATAGTAGGCTATACCATCTAGGTTTGTGTAAGTACACTCTATGAGGTTCACACAATGACAAAATCACCTAAAGAGACTTTTCTCAGAATGTGTCTCCATTGTTAAGCAATGCATGAAGAGGGCCCTAACTAGACATCGAATCTGCCAGCAACTTGATCCTGGACTTCCCAGCCTCCAGAACAATGGTGTGTACATGGATATATTTCCTAGTGCTGACTGCTGAAAGTTCCAAGAAGTAATGACACCCAGTAAAAAGGAACAAATCTAGTACCCAGATTTCAGCTTCTAACACCATTCCTTTCTAAAAGGAGACAGAACTTCTTAAAAGAAATGGTTGATTCCAAGGCGGGGATAGGATTGGATACAAGATAAGTCTGGAACATATTTTTATACCAGAAAGCAAGGAATTGTTCCAAAAAATTGATGGGAGTATGTTACAAGGTCACAGGAACCAGATCAAAGTGGTCTCTACGTGCAATTTAAGCACCAAAATAATTAAATACAAGGATGAATTTTAAACCATTAAAAACAAGAATTGAGCTCATACCAACGATGATGAGAGAGAGAGAGAATTAGAAAGGCTTTCTAGTTGCTAGAGACTGTGTGTTTTGCCCCAAAATTCATATGTTGAAATCCTAACCCCCAAGGTGATGGTATTAAGGGCTTTTGGGAAGTGATTAGGTCATGAGGGTAGAGTCCTCATGAATGGGATTAGTGCCCTTATAAAAGAGACCCAGAGATATCTCACCCTCTGCCGTGTGAGGTTACAGTGAAATGACAGCTATCTATGGAAGAGGAAGAGGACTCTCACCAACATCAAATCTGCCAGCACCTTGATCTTGGAATTCCCAACATCCTTGGTTTCCCTTGATGTTGTCATCCCAACATCTGAGTTCTGGAAAGGTGTAGTGGCTACTGGCCCCCAGAGGAGGGCACACTGCAGAAGTGGCATGACAATGTGAGGAGTTCCACTGACCAGCTCCCCTGTGAAACTGGTGAAAATTACTAAAATAAAATAAAATAAAATAAAGCCTCGAGAAATAGTCCCAAGGGCAAACAGCAAATGAAGACACATCTATTCAAGAAAACCTATGAAAATTTAATAAGAAAGCAAAAGCTATAAGCCTAAAACATCTTTATGTTAGCCCCAAAGTACATCTATAATAGCCCCCAAGTACATCTTTATGTTCTAGGTGAGGATGGACCCTACAAGATATAGAGGAAGGTCAGTCCTTACTGCGGATAACTGAAACTGTGGGTTTCACTTTCCACAGTTTCAGTTACCCGCAGTCAACCCTGGTCTGAAAAATATTAAATGGAAAATTTCAGAAATACACAATTCATAAGTTTTAAATTGCATGCTGTTTTGGGTAGCATGATGAAATCTTGCACCATCCTGGTGTATGTTCTGCCTGGAATGTGAATCACCCCTTTGTCCAGCATATCCATGCTTATACACTATGTGCTCATTAGTCACTGAGTAGCATCTCAGTTATCAAATTAACTGTCACGGTATCACAGTGCTTGTGTTCAAGTAACCCCTATTTTACTTAGTAATAGCTCCAAAATAGGCCAGGCATAGTGGCTCATGCCTGTAATCCCAGCACTTTGGGAGGCTGAGGCAGGCGGATCATAAGGTCAAGAGATCAAGACCATCCTGGCCAACATGGTGAAACCTGGTCTCTACTAAAAATACGAAAATTAGCTGGGCGTGGTGGTGCACGGCTGTAGTCCCAGCTACTCAGGAGGCTGAGGCAGGAGAATTGCTTGAACTCAGGAGGCGGAGGTTGCGGTGAGCCCAGATCGTGCCACTGCACTCTAGCCTGGTGACAGAAGGAGACTACATCTCAAACAATAATAATAATAATAACAACAACCCCAAAGTACAAGCATTGTGATGCTGGTATATTGTTATAATTGGTCTATTTTATTATTAGTCGTTAATATATTACTATGCCTAATTTGTAAATTAAACTTTATCATAGGTATGTATAATATATACAGCAAAAAGGCCGGGCACGGTGGCTCACGCCTGTAATCCCAGCACCTTGGGAGGCTGAGGCGGGCGGATCACGAGATCCGGAGATCGAGACCATGCTGGCTAACACGGTGAAAACCCATCTCTACTAAAAATACAAAAAAAAAAAATTAGCCAGGCATGGTGGCAGGCGCCTGTAGTCCCAGCTACTCGGGAGGCTGAGGCAGGAGAATGACGTGAACCTGGGAGATGGAGCTTGCAGTGAGCCGAGATCACACCAGTGCACTCCAGCCTGGGCGACAGAGCGAGACTCCGTCTCAAAAAAATATGTATGTGTATATATATACATATATATACATATACATATATATATATGTATATATACATATATATATATACACATATATATATATATATACATATATATATATATACACACACACACATATATGCAGCAAAAAAATACTATAAACAAGGTTTTGTACTATACAAGGTTTCAGGCATCTATTGGGGGTAGATGGAATATGTTACCCACAGATAAGTGGGGGACCACTGTAGGTTTTTTTAATTTAAGAATATGGTATTTCTTCCCATTTGTTTAAGTCTTCTTTTGATAATTTCATAAGTGTTTCCATATACCTCTTACACACTTCTTTTTTTTGGAGACAGAATCTCGCTCTGTCGCCCAGGCTGGGGTGCAGTGGCGTGATCTCGGCTCACTGCAATCTCCATATCCCAGGTTCAAGCGATTCTCCTCTCTCAGCCTTCCGGAGTAGCTGGGACTACAGGCATGCACCACCATACCCAGCTAATTTTTGTATTTTTAGTAGAGACTGGGGTTTCATTATGTTGGGCAAGCTGGTCTCGAACTCCTGACCTCAAGTGATCTGTCCGCCTCAGCCTCCCAAAGTGTTGGGATTACAGGCGTGAGCCACCATGCCCAGCCAGCACTTACACATGTCTTAAGTTTAACCCTAAATGTTTTTTACTGCCTTTATAAATGGAATTTCTTTTATTGTATTTTCTAACTGGTTGTTGTTGTTTACATACATAAAGGCTATCAATTCTGTATATTAATTGTGCATCCAGATTACTTACTGAATTCTCTTACAATGTTAGTAGTTTTGCTTTTGATTGCTTCAGCTTTTTCAGCTATACATTCTGTCTGCAAATAATTATAACTGTACCTCCTTTCCAAATTTTATACCTATAATTTTTTCTCTTATCTAGTTGCCTTGACTAGTATCTGCAAAACAATGTTAAATAATAGTGAAGACAGTAGACATTCTTTATTATTATTATTACTATACATTAAGTTCTGGGGTACATGTGCACAACGTGCAGGGTTGTTACATAGGTATACATGTGCCATGTTGGTTGGCTGCCCCCATCAATTCGTCATTTATATTAGGTAGTTCTCCTAATGCTATCCCTCCCCCACCCCCCACCCCCCGACAGGTCCCAGTGTGTGATGTTCCCCTCCCTGTGTCCATGTGTTCTCATTGTTCAATTCCCACTTATGAGTGAGAACATGCAGTGTTTGGTTTTCTGTCCTTGTGATAGTTTGCTGAGAATGACGGTTTCCAGCTTCATCCATATCCCTACAAAGGACATGAACTCATCCTTTTTTATGGCTGCATAGTATTCCATGGTGTATATGTGCCACATTTTCTTTATCCACTATATTATTATGGACGTTTGGGTTGGTTCCAAGTCTTTGCTATTGTGAATAGTGCCACAATAAACATGCATGTGCATATGTCTTTATAGCAGCATGATTTATAATCCTTTGGGTATATACCCAGTAATGGGATTGCTGGGTCAAATGATGTTTCTAGTTCTACATCCTTGAGGAATCGCCACACTGTATTCCACAATGGTTGAACTAATTTACACTCCCACCAACAGTGTAAAAGCTTTTCTATTTCTCCACATCCTTTCCAGCATCTGTTGTTTCCTGACTTTTTAATGATCACCATTCTAACTGGCATGATGGTATCTCATTGTGGTTTTGATTTGCATTTCTCTAATGACCACTGATGAGCAGCATTTTTTCATATGTCTGTTGGATGCATAAATGTCTTCTTTTGAGAAGTGTCTGTTCATATCCTTTGCCCACTTTTTGATGGGGTTGTTTGTTTGTTTAAGTTCTTTGTAGATTCTGGATATTAGACCTTTGTCAGATGGATAGATTGCAAAAATTTTCTCCCATTCTGTAGGTTGCCTGTTCGCTCTGCTGATAGTTTCTTTTGCATGCAAAATCCCTTAGTTTAATTAGATCCCATTTATCTATTTTGGCTTTTGTTGCCATTGCTTTTGGTGTTTTAGTCATGAAGTCTTTGTCCATGCCTACATCCTGAATGGTATTGCCTAGGTTTTCTTCTAGGGTTTTTATGGTTTTAGGTCTTACATTTAAGTCTTTAACCCATCTTGAGTTAATTTTTGTGTAAGGTGTAAGGAAGGGATCCAGTTTCAGCTTTCTACATATGGCTAGCCAGTTTTCCCAGCACCATTTATTAAATAGAGAATCCTTTCCCAGTGCTTGCTTTTGTCAGGTTTGTCAAAGATCAGATGGTTGTAGATGTGTGGTGTTGTTTCTGAGGCCTCTGTTCTGTTCCATTGGTCTATATATCTGTTTTGGTACCAATACCATGCAGTTTTGGTTACTGCAGCCTTGAGGTATAGTTTGAAGTCAGGTAGCATGATGCCTCCAGCTTTGTTCTTTTTGCTTAGGATTGTTTTGGCTATGCAGGCCCTTTTTTGGCTCCATATGAACTTTAAAGTAGTTTTTTCCAATTCTGTGAAGATAGTCAGTGGTAGCTTGATGGGGATAGCACTGAATCTATAAATTACTTTGGGCAGTATGGCCATTTTCATAATAATGATTCTTCCTATCCATGAGCATGGAATGTTCTTCCACTTGTTTGTGTCCTCTTTTATTTCATTGAGCAATGGTTTGTAGTTCTCCTTGAAGAGTTCCTTCACATCCCTCGTAAGTTGGATTCCTAGGTATTTTATTATCTTTGTAGCAATTGTGAATGGGAGTTCACTCATGATTTGGCTGTTTGTCTGCTATTGGTGTATAGGAATGCTTGTGATTTTTGCACATTGATTTTGTATCCTGAGACTTTGCTGAAGTTGCTTATCAGCTTAAAGGAGATTTTGGGCTGAGACAATGTGGTTTTCTAAATATAAAATCATGTCGTCTGCAAAGAGAGACAATTTGACTTCCTCTTTTCCTAATTGAATACCTTTTATTTCTTTTTCCTGCCTGATTGTCCTGGCCAGAACTTCCAACATTATGTTGAATAGGAGTGGTGAGAGAGGGCATCCTTGTCATGTGCCAGTTTTCAAAGGGAATGCTTCCAGTTTTTGCCCATTCACTATGATATTGACTGTGAGTTTGTCATAAATAGCTCTTATTATTTTGAGATACATCCATCAATACCTAGTTTATTGAGAGTTTTTAGCATGCAGGGCTGTTGAATTTTGTCAAAGGCCTTTCCTGCATCTATTGAGATAATCATGTGGTTTTTGTCATTGGTTCTGTTTATGTGATGGATTACGTTTATTGATTTGGGTATGTTGAACCAGTCTTGCATCCCAGGGATGAAGCTGACTTGATCATGGTGGATAAGCTTTTTGAAGTGCTGCTGGATTCGGTTTGCCAGTATTTTATTGAGGATTTTTGCATTGATGTTCATCAGGGATATTGACCCAAAATTCTCTTTTTTTGTTGTGTCTCTGCCAGGCTTTGGTATCAGGATGATGCTGGCCTCATAAAACGAGTTAGGGAGGATTCCCTCTTTTTCTATTGATTGGAATAATTTCAGAAGGAATGGTACCAGCTCCTCTTTGTACCTCTGGTAGAATTCAGCTGTGAATCCATCTGGTCCTGGACTTTTTTTGGTTGGTAGGCTAATTATTGCCTCAATTTCAGAACCTGTTATTGGTCTATTCAGAGATTCGACTTCTTCCTGGTTTAGTCTTGGGAGGGTGTATGTGTCCAGGAATTTATCCATTTCTTCTAGATTTTCTAATTTATTTGCATAGAGATGTTTATAGTATTCTCTGATGGTAGTTTGTATTTCTGTGGGATTGGTGGTGATATCCCCTTTATCATTTTTTATTGCATCTATTTGAGTCTTCTCTCTTTTCTTCTTTATTAGTCTTGCTAGCATTCTATCTATTTTGTTCCCTTTTCAAAAAACCAGCTCCTGGATTCATTGATTTTTTGAAGGGATTTTTGTGTCTCTATCTCGTTCAGTTCTGCTCTGATCTTAGTTATTTCTTGTCTTCCGCTAGCTTTTGAATGTGTTTGCTCTTGCTTCTCCAGTTCTTTTAATTGTGATGCTAGGGTGTCAATTTTAGATCTTTCCTGCTTTCTCTTGTGGGCATTTAGTGCTATAAATTTCCCTCTACACGCTGCCTTAAATGTGTCCCAGAGATTCTGGTACATTGTGTCTTTGTTCTCATTGATTTCAAAGAACATCTTCATTTCTGCCTTCGTTTCGTTATTTACCCAGTAGTCATTCAGGAGCAAGCTGTTCAGTTTCCATGTAGTTGTGTGGTTTAGAGTGAGTTTCTTAATCCTGAGTTCTAATTTGATTGCACTGTGGTCTAAGAGACAGTTTGTTGTGATTTCTATTATTTTACATTTGCTGATGAGTGTTTTACTTCCAATTATGTGGTCAATTTTAGAATAAGTGTGAGGTGATGCTGAGAAGAATGTATATTCTGTTGATTTGGGGTGGAGAGTTCTGTAGATGTCTATTAGGTCTACTTGGTCCAGAGCTGAGTTCAAGTACTGGATATCCTTGCTAATTTTCCGTCTTGTTGATCTGTCTAATATTGACAGTGGAGTGTTAAAGTCTTCCATTATTATTGTGTGGGAGTCTAAGTCTCTTTGTAGGTCTCTAAGAACTTGCTTTATGAATCTGGGTGCTTCTGTATTGGGTGCATATATATTTAGGATAGTTAGCTCTTCTTGTTGAATTGATCCCTTTACCATTATGTAATGGTCCTCTTTGTCTCTTTTGATCTTTGTTGGTGTAAAGTCTGTTTTATCAGAGACTAGGATTGCAACTTCTGCTTTTATTTTTTCTTTTCTTTTGCTTGGCAGATCTTCCTCCATCCCTTTATTTTGAACCTACATGTGTCTTTGCACATGAGATGAGTCTCCTGAATATAGCACATCAATGGGTCTTGACTCTTTATCCAATTTGCCAGTCCGTGTCTTTTAATTGGGGCATTTAACCCATTTACATTTAAGGTTAATATTGTTATGTGTGAATTTGATCCTGTCATTATGATGCTAGCTGGTTATTTTGCCTGTTAATTGATGCAGTTTCTTCATAGCGTTGATGGTCTTTACAATTTGGCATGTTTTTGCAGTGACTGGTACCAGTTGCTCCTTTCCATGTTTAGTGCTTCCTTCAAGAGCTCTTGTAAGGCAGGCCTGGTGGTGACAAAAGCTCTCAGCATTTGCTTGTCTTTAAAGGATTTTATTTCTCCTTCACTTATGAAGCTTAGTTTGGCTGGATATGAAATTCTGGGTTGAAAATTCTTTTTTTTTTTATTTAACTTTAAGTTTTAGGGTACATGTGCACAACGTGCACATTAGTTACATATGAGAACGTTGAATATTGGCCCCCACTGTCTTCTGGCTTGAAAGGTTTCTGCAGAGAGATCCGCTGTTAGTCTGATGGGCTCCCCTTCGTGGGTAACCCAACCTTTCTCTCTGGCAGCCCTTAACATTTTTTCTTTCATTTCAACCTTGGTGAATCTGACTATTATGTGCCTTGGGGTTGCTCTTCTCGAGGAATATCTTTGTGATGTTCTCATATTTCCTGAATTTGAATGTTGGCCTGCCTTGCTAGGTTGGGGAAGTTCTCCTCGATAATATCCTGAAGAGTGTTTTCTCACTTGGTTCCATTCTCCCCATCACTTTCAGGTACACCAATCAAATGTAGATTTGGTCTTTTCACATAGTCCCATATTTCTTGGAGGCTTTCTTTCTTTTTATTCTTTTTTCTGTAATCTTGTCTTCCCACTTTATTTCATTAATTTGATCTTCAGTCACTTTCTTCCCTTTCTTCCGCTTGATCAAATCAGCTATTGAAGTTTGTGTATGCCTCATGAAGTTCTCATGCTGTGTTTTTCAGTTCCATCAGGTCATTTATGCTCTTCTCTACACTGGTTATTCTAGTTAGCCATTCCTCTAACCTTTTTTCAAGGTTTTTAGCTTCCTTGTGATGGGTTGGAACATGCTCCTTTAGCTCAGAGAAGTTTGTTATTACCCACTTTCTGAAGCCTACTTCTATCAACTCATCAAACTCATTCTCCATCCAGTTTTGTTCCCTTGCTGGCAAGGAGTTGTAATCCTTTGGAGGAGAAGAGGTGTTCTGGTTTTTGGAATTTTCAGCCTCTCTGTTCCGGTTTCCCCTCATCTTTGTGGTTTTATCTACCTTTGGTTTTTGATGTTGCTGACCTACGGATGGGGTTTTGGTGTGGATGTCCTTTTTGTTGATGTTGATGCTATTCCTTTCTGTTTGTTAGTTTTCCTTCTAACAGTCAGGTCTCTCAGCTGAAGGTCTGTTGGAGTTTGCTGGAGGTCCACTCCAGACTCTGTTTTTCTGGGTATCACCAGAGGAGGCTGCAAAACAGCAAATATTGCTGCCTGATACTTCCTCTGGAAGCTTCGTCCCAGAGGGGCGCCCACCAGATGCCAGCCAGAACTCTCCTGTATGAGGTGTCTGTTGGCCCCTACTGGGAGATGTCTCCCAGTCAGGCTACACAGCGGTCAGGGACCCACTTGAGGAGGCAGTCTGTCCCAGAGCTTGAATGCCATGCTGGGAGAACCACTGCTCTCTTCAGAGCTGTCAGGCAGGGACATTGAAGTCTGGAGAAGCTGTGCCCACAGCTGCCCCTTTCCCCAGGTGCTCTGTCCCAGGGGGATGAGGGTTTTAACTATAAGTCCCTGACTAGGGCTGCTGCCTTTTGTTCCGATATGCCCTGCCCACAGAGGTGGAATCTAGAGAGGCAGTTGGCCTTGCTGAGCTGTGGTGGGCTCTGCCCAGTTCAAGCTTCCTGGCAGCTTTGTTTATGCTGTGAGCATAAAACTGCCTACTCAAGCCTCAGCAATGGCAGACACCCCTCCCCCCACCAAGCTCCAGTGTCCCAGGTCAATCCCAGACCGCTGCGCTAGCAGCAAGAATATCAAGCCAATGGATCATAGATTGCTGGGCTCTGTGGTCATGGGACCTGCCAAGCCAGGCACCAGAGGGAATCTCCTGGTCTGCCAGTTGTGAAGACAATGGGAAAGGTGCAGTATTTGGGCAGAGTGTACTGTTCCTCCTGGTACAGTCTCTCACCGCTTCCCTTGATTAGGAAAGGGAAATCCCCTGACCCCTTGCACTTCCTGGGTGAGGTGACACCATGCCCTGCTTCGCTCTCCCTCTGTGGGCTGCACCCACTGTTCAACCAGTCCCAGTGAGATGAACCAGGTACCTAGGTTGGAAATGCAGAAATCACCCATCTTCTGTGTCGATCTCGCTGGGAGCTGCAGACAGGAGCTGTTCCTATTCGGCCATCTTGGAAGAGTTGACAGTAGACATTCTTATACCGTTTCCAACTTTATTATAAATGTATCTAGTTTTTCTGTGATTAAACATGATTCTTGTTTTGCATTGGGAAAAATATATATATTGTTATTTTGAGATTTTTATCAAGAATGGATGGACAGGGATCAACAACTGGCATGACAATGTGAGGAGTTCCACTGACCAGCTCCCCAGTGAAACTGGTGAAAATTATTAAAAAAAACACACACACACATTTAGGCCAGGTGTGGTGGCTCGTGCCTGTAATCCCACACTTTGGGAGGCTGAAGGGGGTGGATCACTTGAGGTCAGGAGTTCGAGACCAGCCTGTGCAACATGGTGAAACCTCTTCTCTACTAAAAATACAAAAATTGGCTGGCTGCAGTGGCTCACACCTGTAATCCCAACATTTTGGGAGGCTGAAGCAGGCAGATCACCTGAGGTCAGGAGTTCGAGACCAGCCTGACCAACATGGAGAAACCCCATCTCTACTAAAAATACAAAATTAGCCAGGCATGGTGGCACATGCCTGTAATCCCAGCAACTCAGGAGGCTGAGGCAGGAGAATCACTTGAACCTGGAAGGCAGAGTTGCAGTGAGCCAAGATTGCACCATTGCACTCCAGCCTGGGCAACAAAGTGAGACTCTGTCTGAAACAAAAAAAGGAAAGAAAAGGAAAGAAAACACACACACACACACACACACACACACACACACACACACACACAAAAAAACCTCTAGGAATGGTCCTAAGGGTAAACAGCAAGTGAAGAAACTTCTATTCAAGAAAATCAATGAAAATTTAGTAAGAAAGCAAAAGCTATTAACCTTTTAGAAGAAAACACAGAGGTATCTTCGTGATCTTAAATTTGGCAAAGAATTCCTAGATATAACTCCAAAAGCATGAGCAACGAAAGAAAAAAATAGGCAAATTGGACTTCATCAAAATTTAAAACTTTTGAGCAAGATGGCTGACTAGAGATGCCTGGTGCTAGTCTTCCCCACAAGAAAGGACCATGGCAATAAATAAATAGCTAAGACTTGACTAGATTGTTGAAGGAAGAGCACTGGAGTACAGTGAGGAAGTGGAGATGCACATGTGGTGATTGGAAGTACAGGAGGGCAACATGGAGGCACCTGCCCTTTATAGCCCCATTTCCCTCACCAGGATCAGATCAGCCCAGATATGGGAAGGATTTCCCACTGCAAGGAATAGGTAAGCAGAAGATTCCCACTAGATACATGGCCACCACAAATACCTACTGTCCGTACTATAGGAGAATGTCACAGTCCTCACAAGTCCTAGGCCCAGTTTGGAGAGCTACCAGGAATTCACGTAGCTGCCTTGCCCTAGATTAGGAGCACAAAGTATACACTCCCCACACTCCACCCACTCCCTGTGAGCCAAGCTGCTGTGGCATGGTACAATATTGAGACCATAGCCACTTCTGCAGTGTGCCCTTCTCTGGGGACCAGTAGCCACTACACCCTTCCAGTACACAGATGGCTGAAGGCTCCAACCCCAGAGAGCCAGACCCCATGTTGGCTGACCCACTGTGCACACACACATGCTTCCAACCTGAGAAACAGAAACAGCCAGGTGAGCTCACCCCTCACAAAGCCACACCATCATCACCACAAATTCTCTCAGCTTAGGCTACTGGGAAACTTGCAGACACCACTAGTGTGGACTATAGCTGAAGAAACTACATGGAGATTGCACTACTGCATCCACCTAGAACCAAGGCAAATGCACCCCACAGTACTGACATCCCAAGACTCATTCATACAAATAAACTTTTCTCCTGAAAACCTATTCCATAAAAATAGAAAAGATGACTTTTCCACCAGATATGTAGAAACCAATGTAGAAATACATCAACCATGAAAATGAAAGGAAACATGTCACCTTCAACAGAAAACAGTAATTCTCCAGTAACAGTAATCATAGGAAATATAAGAAATGCCAGAAAGAAAAACAATTAAAAATAAAAATCTTAAAGAAACTTGATGAGGCCAGGCACAGTAGCTCATGCCTCTAATCCCAGTACTTTGAGAAGCCAGGATGGAAGGATGACTTGAGGGCAGGGATTTGAGATCAGCCTGGGCAACACAGGAAGACCATATCGCTACAAAAATAAATAAATAATTAGCTGGGCATGGTGACACACAGCTATATTCCTAGCTACTGTGGAGGCTGAGGCAAGAGGATTGCTTGAGCCCAAGAGTTTGAGGTTATAGTGGGCTACAATCACACCACTGAACTCTAGCCTGGGCAAGAAGGTGAGGCCCTGTCTCAAAAACAACAGTGACAAAAAAAATTCATTGAGATACAAAAGAACACAAATAGACAATTCAACAAAATCAGAAAAACATTTCATAATTTGAATGAGAAATTCAACAACAACAAAAAAGATAGTATTAAAAAAACAGCAGAAATCTCAGAGCTGAAGAATTTAATGAATTAAATAAAAATTTAGTCATACACTAGACCAAGCATATTAAATAATTTCTGAACTGGAAGACATGTGTTTTGAAATAAGACAGGAAAGAAGGAAGGAAGAAAGGAAGGAAGGAAGGAAAGAAGGAAGGAAGGAAGGGAGGGGAGGGGGAGGGAGGGGAGGGAAGGAGGGAAGGAGGAAGGAAAGAAGAAAGAAAGAGAGAAAGAAAAAGAAAGGAAGGAAGAAAGAAAGAAAAGAAAGAAAGAAAGGAAGAAAGGGAGAAAAAGAAACAAAGAAAGAAAGAGAGAGGGAGGGAGGAAAAGAAAAAAGGAAGGAAGGAAGCAAGGAAGGAAGGAAGGAAGAAATACTCCAGGGATGGCCAGGTGTAGTGTTTCATGCCTGTAATCTCAGCACTTTGGAAGGCCAAGGCAGGAAGATGACGAGTGCAGGAATGTGAGACCAGCCTGGGCAACATAGTGAGACTCTGTCTCTAAGGGAAAAAAAATTAAAGTAGCCAGACATGGTGGCACAGGCCTGTGGTCCTAGCTATTCAGGAGGCTGAGATGGGAGGATTACTTGAGTCTGGGAGATCAAGACTGCAGCAAGCCATGAATACACTACAGCACACCAGCCTGGATGAAAGAGCAAGATCCTATCAAAAAAGAAAAAAAAAACCCTCTAGGGAGGCCTATATCCAGAAGTGAGAAGTGCAAAGACCAGCTCGGTCGGGGAGACCCTAACCCAGTGGTGCTAAAGGAATTAAAGACAGACACACAGAAATACAGAGGTGTGAAGTGGGAAATCCGGGGTCTCACAGCCTTCAGAGCTGAGAGCCTCCAACAGAGATTTACCCACGTTATTTATTAACAGCAAGCCAGTCATTAGCATTCTTTCTATACATATTAGATTAATTAAAAGTATCCCTTATGGGAAACGAAGGGATGGGCTGAAATAAAGGGATGGGTTGGGCTAGTTATCTGCAGCAGTAGCACAGCCTTAAGGCACAGATCACTCATGCTATTGTTTGTGGTTTAAGAATGCCTTTAAGTGGTTTTCCACCCTGGGTGGGCCAGGTGTTCCTTGCTCTCATTCTGGTAAACCCACAACCTTCCAGCGTGGGCATTAAGACCATCATGAACATGTCAGTGCTGCAGAGATTTTGTTTATGGCCAGTTTTGGGACCAGTTTATGGCCAGATTTTGGGGGGGGGGGTGCTGTTCCCAATATGTCCCCCTTATTTGATTTGCAAATCGATAAAAGCAAAGGCAGCTTTGACACTGTGAGCTACTTCTCACAGGAGTCAGGATCCACATCTGCACACTATACAAAGACAAACAATACCGATTAAAAGCACAATCATCATTGAAATCACAGAGCTTCCAAGTGTTTTTATCCATTTTAATGGGTTACTAGCTGCTAATCTGTCTGCAGCTCCTTCAAGCACTCCAGTTTCTGTCATTAAGGTCAGGTGTACCTGGGATGCTTTAAATATTTGTTCTTTTAATTTTGTAATATCCAAAGACAAGTTTGTAGAGTGTCTTTCTAGATGCTTTTTTTATTCTTTCCCAAATTTTGATCTTATTAAGAGCTATTAATAGTTTCCACAAATCCTTATGTTTAGCTCCTACAATGAGCCATATCATTTGAGGTTGAGGTGACACTATACTGCCATGGTTCCAGACAATAGGAACTTTTGCCATACTTCTTATCATTTCTGCCATCTGACCACTTTGTTCAGACCATCTGAACTAGTGTGGCCATGGCATGCAGACTGAGAGGTGCAATTTAAGCTAAACATCCCCTTAGGGGACCAATCAATGATCCCATAGGAATCATTGCGTAGCATCTCTGCCTGTTCTGCAATGCAATCTTACTAAACAAGTTGTTCATTATTTCTGGCCAGGTTCTATTTTGTTTACAAATAGGTTTTTGAGGGTGGTATGCCTCAATTATAGGAGCAGATTTATTATGGTAAATACTGAGATCAGAAAGCATGTGTAACTGTGCCATAGAGTGAAATCATCTAGGCATTATTGCCAGACAAGATTGATAAATATGCCCAATAAGTATAATTGTTCTCTGTGTCAGCCCTTGTTGAAGGAATACTCATGGCAATGGTGATCATCACTGTGATAGATCACCAAATTACTCATTGTGATTGGTTGTCCCGCTTTCCTCAGGTTTTCTTCCATCATCTGTGACAGCTTCTTGATTTGTCCCCAGGTGGATGGCTGTGTTCGACGGGTGTTGCTCATGACAGTTGGGGTCCTCCTCAGTGTCAGCCTCGACGTGGCTGCAACCAGGGGGTCCTCAGGATCCTCCTGGAATCTCTTCCTCAGCATCTGGCTCATGATAAGGTTTCAGGTGTCTTGATGGTATCCAAATTGGTTATTGATTTTGGCCTGGAGAAACACAAACATAACCTCTACCCCAAGTTATTATTTTACCTATTTCCCAACTTTTTGTTATCGGATCTCTCCACCAAACCAGTTGTTCTGCTTCTGTCTTTGCAGCCGGTTTCTGTAAATGCTGTTCAGCTGCTGATAACATCTGGCCTTTAGGCAGACTCAAAAAATTTAAAGTTAATAATGCTAGATTCAATTGTATATGGGCTGTCCCATAATCCCTCTTTCTCCCCCTTTGTTGTTTTTGTCTTCAGTTGTTCATCTGTATGAAATCGTAACTGAGCATTTTCAATTAACTGTGTGGAAAGAACCATATATGAAGAATCAGAAATCACATTAACAGGCATATCAAAAGCAGTCAATACCTCAATTACAGCTACAAGCTCCACTTTTTGAGCTGAAGTATAGGGCATCTGGAAAACTTTACTTTTTGAGCCAGAATAAGAAGTTTTACCATTACTAGACCCATCTGTAAAACAATGAAAATGCTTAGCAGGCTGCAGGTTGTTTACTGCAAGAATTGTAAATGCAAACCATTCACAGTCTTGCTCAGCCAAAGGGATAGTAAAGAAACAGTCTTTCAAATCTATGACTATTAAAGGCCAATTTTTTGGAATTATAGCAGGAGAAGGCAATCCTGGCTGTAATGCTCCCATAGGTTGTATAACTGAATTGATGGCTCTTAAGTCAGTTAACATTTTCTATTTACCTGAATTTTTCTTAATTATGAAAACTGGAGAATCCCAAGCAGAAAATGTTGGGGCTATGTGCCCATTTTCTAATTGAACTAATTTCTCTAAAGCCTCCAGTTTCTCTTTACTTAGCAGCCATTGTTCTATCCAAATTGGCTTATCTGTTAACCATTTTAAAGGTATAGGTTCTGGAGGCTTAACAATGGCTGCCATCAAAAATGATATCCTAAGCCTTGGCAGGAATTTTGTCTTTCCACTTGCAGTGGTTCTTTCAAAACTCGCAAATTTTTTCCTAGTCCAATACCAGGAACATACCCCATTATATGCATCATATGTTGACTTTGAGGGCTATATAATTGTTCTGGAATTAGAACTTGTACTCCCCATTGTTGTAATAAATCCCTTCCTCAGAAATTTATGGGTACAGAAGTTATAATTGGTTGAATAGTCCCAGGTTGTCCATCAGGCCCTTCACAATGCAAAATATAGCTACTTTGATATACTTCAGGGACTTTACCAACTCCAACTATTGGAGTTGAATTGAGTGGGTTGAATTGGCCATGCAGACGGCCAGTGCTGTAGAGAAAATGTCCACTCCTGTATCTACCAAACCTTTAAATTTATTTCCCTGAATAGTTATTTCACAGGTAGGATGTGTATCAGTAATTTGATTTACCCAATAAGCTGCTTTGCCTTGTTTATTTGTGCTTCCAAATCCTCCTGTTCATTTAATTTCACTTTTTCCCATTCCCACATATGACACAATCAGGAGCTGTGCTATGCACTCTCCTGGCTCTGCTTTCCAGGGAACAGAAGTAGATATAACAATTTGAATTTCCCCATTGTAATCTGAATCAATGACTCTTGTATGTATTTGTACCCCTTTTAAATTTAAACTAGAACTGCCTAGAACTAATCCTATTGTCCCTGCTGGCAAGGGACCACAGACTCCTGTTGGGACCTTTTGCAGGGGTTCCCCAGGCAGAAGACTCAGCATAAATCTACTGCAGCATAAATCTAGTGTGGCTCTACCAGCTGTGGTGGGGGACAGGCATTGTACAGGGGTGAGGGAATGACCCGAGCTGGAAATGCCCCAGTTTGGAATGGGGCCCAGGATGGGCCCCTCATGGCTTTTCCTGAAATCAGGTTCCCATCTTTATCAAACTTAGAGTGATTAGCCCAGTGTTTTCCTTTTTTACATTTTGGACATATTTCAGGCTCAGCAGTTTTCTTTTTTCCCCTATCTGGTGGCCCGACTTGCTGATTTTTTTCTACTTTTTTTTTTTTCAGTATGACCATGCTTCCCACAGTTAAAACAAGCTCCAGGAAATGGAGTACTTTCTGTATCCACTCTCAGTCCTGCCATTGCCCGTGCTAGCAGGTGGCCTGATGCAGATTACCTCTGATACCACCACAGGCCTTGATATAATCAACTAAATGTGCTTTCCCTCTGATAGGTCACAGAGCAGCCTGGCAATCAGGATTAGCATTGTTGAAAGCTAATAATTGCAACACTATATCCTGAGCAGCCAAATCTGCAGTCATCTTTTTAAGAGACTCCTGTAACTGAGCTATAAAATCCACATATGATTCTTCTGGTCCCTGTTTTATAGCACTAAAGAAAGGGTATTGTTCTCCACTTGAAGTGATTTTTTTTCCCCAAGCTCTAATGCACGCTCCTCTAAGCTGTTCTATGGCATCATCCTGCATGACCATTTGTGCATCTAAACCAGCCCAACTGCCAACCCCCAAAAGTTGGTCTGCAGTTATATTAATTTGAGGTTGGTCCTGCGTGTTGTGAGAAGCCTGAATGGAAGCTTCATCTGCCCACCAAGTTTTAAATTGTAAGAACTAAGCAGGAGTTAGACAAGCTTGAGTAAGAGCGTCCCAGTCAGTAGGAATCATCTGACTGGAAACAGCAATGTTCTTTAATAGTCCCATTACAAAAGGAGAACCTGGTCCATACTGATTAATAGCTTGTTTAAATTCTTTGAGTAATTTAAAACAAAAAGGCTCAAATGTAGCTACAATATTTCCCTGTTGGTCTGGGCAGTGTAGTCTAACAGGGAACTGCCAAGCCTCTTAATCACCTTCTCATCTAGCTTGCTGAATTCCTGACTGAATAGAACTAAGAGCAGTCGCTCGAGGTGCTGCTTGAACAGTCACTGGGGCAACTAATTTTTGCCCACTGTCCTCTGGAAAAGAAAGATCTGGAGGGTCAGGCCACTCTTTTTCTTCAAAATAATAATGAGGGGGTGCAGAAGGGTAGGGATGAACCTCTCCCTCCTTTGCCACTTTAGCTTTAGCTGGCAAATAAACCTGCTCTATAACCTCTTCTGTTACTTCATTATACTCTCCTTCTTCCTCATCATCAGTGTGAAAAAGTTCCAAGATGGAACGAACCAGACCCCACACTTGTCCCATTGTTACCCTGATGCTTCTGAGCTCCCCTTCTTACTCACCACGGGGTTTGCTTTAAGAGTACTCAGGTGTCCTCCAGCTAGTTCCATGTTCTCCAACCATCACTCTGGTGACCCTTCAACCTGGATTCGAGCCCCCATGATGGAGACCACTTGCTGAGACCAGCTTGGTCGGGGAGACTCTAACCCAGTGGCACTAGAGGAATTAAAGACACAGAAATATAGAGGAGTGAAGTAGGAAATCAAGGGTCTCACAGCCTTCAGAGCTGAGAGCCTCCAACAGAGGTTTACCCATGTATTTATTAACAGCAAGCTAGTCATTAGCATTCTTTCTATAGATATTAGATTAACTAAAATTATTCCTTATGGGAAATGAAGAGATGGGCTGAAATAAAGGGATGGGTTGGACTAGCTATCTGCAGCAGGAGCATGGCCTTAAGGCACAGATCACTCATGCTATTGTTTGTGGTTTAAGAATGCCTTTAAGCGGTTTTCCACCCTGGGTGGGCCAGGTGTTCCTTGCCCTCATTCTGGTAAACCCACAACCTTCCAGCGTGGGCGTTAAGACCATCATGTACATGTCACAGTGCTGCAGAGATTTTGTTTATGGCCAGTTTTGGGGCCAGTTTATGGCCAGGTTTTGGGGGGCCTGTTCCCCACAGAGAAGATGATAACCAGCATCATAAAAATATGTGAAACTATAAAAACTCACTGGTAAAGCTAACACATAGGGAGAAAGAGATAAGACTCAAATCTTATCCCTACAGAAAACTGCCCAACCACAAAAGTAAACAGTAAGAGAGGAAGGAACAAAGGATATACAAAACAAGCAGAAAATAATAGAATGCTAGATGTAAGTACTCACCTATCAAGAATAACGTTGCATGTAAATAGATTGAATTTTCCCATTTAAAAGATATAGACTGGGCTGACTCTCTTTTTGGACTCAACTCGTCTGCACCCAGGTGAAATAAACAGCCTTGTTGCTCACACAAAGCTTGTTTGGTGGTCTCTTCACATGGATGCATGACACATTTGGTGCCAAAGACCCAGGTCAGCAGGACTCCTTCAGGAGACTGTCCCCTGTCCTCACCCTCACTCCATGAAGAGATCCACCTACGACCTTTGGTCCTCAGACCAACCAGCCCAAGGAACATCTCACAAATTTTAAATCGGGTAAGTGGCCTCTTTTTACTCTCTTCTCCAACCTTTCTCACTATCCCTCAACCTCTTTCTCCTTTCATTCTTGGTGCCACCCTTCACTCCCTCTCTTCTCTTAATTTCAATTCCTTTCATTTTCTAGTAGAGACAAAGGAGACACATTTTATCCATGGACCCAAAACTCTGGTGCTGGTCATGTACTCAGGAAGGCAGCCTTCCCTTAGTGTTTAATCATTCCGGGGATGCCTGCCTGATTATTCACCCACATTCCATTGGCGTCTGATATCTTCAGGGATGCCTGCCTTGGTCATTCAACCACATTCCCTTGGTGGCAAGTCAATTGCGGGGATGCCTGCTTTGGCTGCTCACCCACATTGCAGCCCAGGGCTGCTCCCCAACCCTTTCTCCATGTCTCTACCTTTCTCTTTAAACTTGCCTCCTTCACTATGGGCAAACTTCCACCCTCCATTCCTCCTTCTTCTCCCTTAGCCTGTGTTCTCAAGAACTTAAAATTTCTTCAACTATCACCTGAACTAAAATCTAAATGTCTTATTTTCTTCTGCAACACTGCTTGGCCCCAATACAAACTCGACAATGGTTCTAAATGGCCAGAAAATGGCACTTTTGATTTCTCCATCCTCCGAGACCTAGATAATTTTTGTTGAAAAATGGGCAAATGGTCTGAGGTGCCTGACATCCAGGCCTTCTAATACACATTGGTCCCTCCCTAGTCTCTGTGCCCAATGCAACTCATCCCAAATCTTTCTTCTTTAGCTCCTGTCTGTTCCTTCAGTCTCCACCCCAAACTCTGAGTCCTTTGAATCCTTCTTTTCTACAGACTGATCTGACCTCTCCCCTTCTCCCCAGGCTGCTCCTCGCCAGGCCAAGCTAGGACCCAATTCTTCCTCAGCCTCTGCTCCCCCACCCTATAATCTTTCTATCACTTCCCCTCCTCACACCCAATCTGGCTTACAGTTTCGTTCTGCAACTAGCCCTCCCCCACCTGCCCAACAATTTCCTGTTAAAGAGGTGGCTGGAGCTAAAGGCATAGTCAAGGTTAATGCTCCTTTTTTTCTTTATCCGACCTCTCCCAAATCAGTTTTTAACATCAAATATAAAAACTCAGCCCAGTTCATGGCCCATTTGGCAACAACCCTTAGACGCTTTACTGCCCTAGACCCAGAGGGGCCAGAAGGCTATCTTATTCTCTATGCATTTTATTACCCAATCTGCTGCTGACATTAGAAAAAGCTCCAAAAATTAGATTCTGGCCCTCAAACCCCACAACAGGACTTAATTAACTGCACCTTCAAGGTGTATGATAATAGAGAAGAGTTGCAATTACTTGCCTCTGCTGTGAGAGAAACCCCAGCCATATCTCCAGCACACAAAAACTTCAAAATGCCTAAGCCACAGCAGCCAGGCATCCCTTCAGGACTTCCTCCCCCAGGATCTTGCTTTAAGTGCTGGAAGTCTGGCCACTGGGCCAAGGAATGCCTGCAGCCTGGGATTCCTCCTAAGCTGTGTCCCATCTGTGCGGGACCCCACTGGAAATTGGACTGTCCAACTGGCCCAAGGCTCTGACTGTCTCCTTCCCAGGTCTTCTTGGCTTAGTGGCTGAACACTGACACTGCCAATCACCTCAGAAGCCCCCTGAACTGTCACGGATGCCGAGTTTTGGGTAACTTACAGTGGAGGGTAAGTCTGTCCCCTTCTTAATCAATACAGAGGCTACCAACTCCACACTACCTTCTTTTCAAGGGCCTGTTCCCTTGCCTCCATAACTGTTGTGCGTATTGATGGCCAGGCTTCTAAACATCTTAAAACTCCCCAACTCTGGTGCCAACTTGGACAATATTCTTTAATGTACTCCTTTTTAGTTATCCCCACCTGCCCAGCTCCCTTATTAGGTCAAGACATTTTAACTAAATTGTCTGCTTCCCTGACTATTCCTAGGCTACAGCCACACCTCATTGCTGCCCTTTTCCCCAGTTCAAAACCTCCTTCACATCCTCCCTTGTTATCTCCCCACCTTAATCCACAAGTGTGGGATACCTCTACTCCCTCACTGGCAACTGATCACACACCCATTACTATCCCATTAAACATAATCACCCTTATCATGCCAATATCCCATCCCACAGCACACTTAAAGGATTAAAGCCTGTTATCACTCACCTGTTACAGCATGGCCTTTTAAAGCCTATAAACTCTCCTTACAATTCCCTCATTTTACCTGTCCAAAAACCAGACAAGCCTTACAGGTTAGTTCAGGATCTGTGCCTTATCGACCAAATTGTCTTGCCTATCCACTCCATGGTGCCAAAACCATATACTCTCCTATCCTCAATGCCTCCCTCCACAACTCCTCCATAACCCATTATTCTGTTCTAGATCTCAAATATGCTTTCTTTACTATTCCTTTGCACCTTTCATTCCAGCCTCTCTTCACTTTCACTTGGACTGACCCTGACACCCATCAGCCTCAGCAACTTACCAGGGCTGTACTGCCACAAGGCTTCATGGACAGCCCCCATTACTTCAGTCAAGCCCAAATTTCTTCCTCATCCATTACCTATCTCAGCATAATTCTTCATGAAAACAACGTGCTCCCCCAGCTGATCATGTCCAGCCAATCTCCCAAACCCCAACCCCTTCTACAAAATAACAACTTCTTCCCTTCCTAGGCATGGTTAGGTACTTCCACCTTTGGATACCTAGTTTTACCATCCTGACTAAACCATTATATAAACTCACAAAAGGAAACCTAGCTGACCCCATAGATCCTAAATCCTTTTGCCACTTCCCTTTCCGTTCCTTAAAAACAGCCCTAGAAGCTGCCCCCACACTAGCTCTCTCTAACTCATCCCAACCCTTTTCGTTACACACAGCCAAAGTACAGGACTGTGCGGTCAAAATTCTTACACAAGAGCCAGGACCACACCCTGTAGGCTTTTTGTCCAAACAACCTGACCTTACTGTTTTAGGCTGGCCATCATGTCTCCATGCAGCAGCTGCTGGTGCCCTAATACTTTTAGAGACCCTCAAAATCACAAACTATGCTCAACTCACCCTCTACAGTTCTCATAACTTCCAAAATCTATTTTCTTCCTCATACCTGACACATATACTTTCTGCTCCCTGGCCCCTTCAGCTGTACTCACTCTTTGTTGAGTCCCCGACAGTTACCATTGTTCCTGGCCTGGACTTCAGTCTGGCCTCCCACATTATTCCTGATACCACAACTGTCCCCCATGACTGTATCTCTCTGATCCACCTGACATTCACTCCATTTCCCCGTATTTCCTTCTTTCGTGTTCCTCACCCTGATCACACTTGGTTTATTGATGGCAGTTCCACCAGGCCTAATCTCCACTCACCAGCAAAGGAAGGCTATGCTAGAGTATCTTCCACATCTATCATTGAGGCTACCACTCTGCACCCCTCCACTACCTCTCAGCAAGCTGAACTCATTGCCTTAACTTGAGCCCTCACTCTTGCAAAGGAATTTTGCGTCAATATTTATAGTGACTCTGAATATGCCTTCCATATCCTGCACCACCATGCTGTTATATGGTCTGAAAGAGGTTTCCTCACTATGCAAGGGTCCTCCATCATTAACGCCTCTTTAATAAAAACTCTTCTCAAGGCCACTTTACTTCCAAAGGAAGCTGGAGTCATTCACTGCAAGCACCATCAAAAGGCATCAGATCCCATCATTCAGGGCAATGCTTATGCTGATAAGGTAGCTAAAAAAGCAGCTAGCATTCCAACTTCTATCCCTCACAGCAGCTTTTCTCCTTCTTATCTGGTCACTCCCACCTACTCCCCCACTGAAACTTCCACCTATCAATCTCTTCCCACACAAGGCAAATGGTTCTTGGACCAAGGAAAGTATCTCCTTCCAGCCTCACAGGCCCATTCTATTCTGTCGTCATTTCATAGCTTCTCCCATGTAGGTTACAAGCCACTAGCCTGACTCTTAGAACTTCTCATTTCCTTTCCACCATGGAAATCTATCCTTAAGGAAATCACTTCTCAGTGTTCCATCTGCTATTCTACTACTCCTCAGGGATTGTTCAGGCCCCCTCCTTTCCCTACACATCAATCTCAGGGATTTGCCCCCAACCAGGACTGGCAAATTGACTTTACTCATACGCCTTGAGTCAGGAAACTAAAATGCGTCTTGGTCTGGGTAGACACTTTCACTGGATGGGTAGAGGCCTTTCCCACAGGGTCTGAGGAGGCCACCATGGTCATTTCTTCCCTTCTGTCAGACATAATTCCTCGGTTTGGCCTTCCCACCTCTATACAGTCCGATAACAGACCGGCCTTTACTAGTCCAATCACCCAAGCAGTTTCTCAGGCTCTTGGTATTCAGTGGTGCCTGGTTTTACCTCAAACTGCCACCCTTAAGTCTCTGTTTAAGTGGATAGAAGATCTTCATTGACAAAGTACACTCCAATACTTTCACCCTGATGAAGTCCTATTCTTTACTTTTATACTCACTCTTATTCTGGTTCCTATTCTTATGCCACCCTCTACCTCTCCCCAGCTATCTCCACCACACTATCAAACTCACTCTCTCCTAGCCATTTCTAATCCTTCTTTAACAAACAATTGCTGGCTTTGCATTTCTCTTTCCTCCAAAATCACCAAGGCCCTGACTTACTCACTGCTAAAAAAAAGGGGAAGGGGGACTCTGTATATTTTTAAATGAAGAGTGTTGTTTTTATCTAAATCAATCTGGCATGGTATAAAAAAACTCAAGGATAGAGCCAAAAAACTCACCAATCAAGAAAACAGTAACATTGAATCCCCTTGGACACTCTAATTGGACATCCTGGGCACTCCCAATTTCTAGTCATTCAATATCTATTTTTCTCCTTCTTTTCTTCAGACCTTGTGTCTTTCATTTAGTTTCTCAATTCATACAAAACCGCATCCAGGACATTACCAATAATTCTATACAAAAAATCCTCCTTCTAACAACTCCACAATATCACCCCTTACCAGAAAATCTTCCTTCAGCTTAATCTCTCCCACTCTAGGTTCCCACATTGCCCCTAATCCTGCTTGAAGCAGCCCTGAGAAACATCGCCTATTATCTCTCCATGCCACCCCCAAAATTTTTCACCACTCCAACACTTCACTATTTTGTTTTGTTTTTCTTATTAATATAAGAAGACAGGAATGTCAGGCCTCTGAGCACAAGCAAAGCCATTATAGCCCCTGTGACCTGCGTGTATACATCCAGATGGCCTAAAGCAACTGAAGATCCACAAAAGAAGTGAAAACAGCCTTAACTGATGACATTCCATCATTGTGATTTGTTTCTGCCCCACCCTAACTGATCAATGTACTTTGTAATTTCCCCCACCCTTAAGAAGATTCTTTGTAATCTCCCCTACCCTTAAGAAGGTTCTTTGTAATTCTCCTCACCCTTGAGAATGTACTTTGTGAAATCCACCCCCTGCCTGCAAAACATTGCTCCTAACTCCACCGCCTATCCCCAAACCAATAAGAACTAATGATAATCCCACCACCCTTGCTGACTGTCTTTTTGGACTTAGCCTGCTTGCACCCAGGTGAAATAAACAGCCTTGTTGCTCACAAAATATATATATATATGTGTATATATATATATATATGTGTATATATATATACATATACATATATATGTGTATATATATACATATACATATATATGTATATATATACACATATATATATATATACACACACATATATATATACACATATATATATATATGTATACACATACACTGGCTGAATGGATAAAAACACAAGACCCAGTCATATGCTGCTTACCTTTAAAGACACACAGACTGAAAGAGGACAGATAGAAAAAGATACTCCATGCAAAAGGAAACCATATTTGAGCAGGAGTAGCTATACTTATATCAGACAAAACAGACTTCAAGTTAAAAGCTGTAAAGAGCTAAAGAAGGACATTATATAACAGCAAAGGTGTCAATTCAATGAGAGAATATAACTGTTGTAAATATATGGGCACCCAACACTGGAGCACTCACATACAAATAAAGCAAATATTATTAGATCTAAGGGAAGAGACAGGTCCTAATATAATAACAGTTGGGGACTGCAACACCCTACTCTTGTCCCTGGACAGATCATCTAGACAGAAAATCAACAAAGAAACATCAGATTTAAACTGCACCATAGACCTAGTGGACCTAAGAGATATTTACAGAACCTTTCACCCAATTGCTACAGAATACACATTATTTTCATCAGAACACAGAACATTCTCCAGGATGGACCATATATTAGGCCACAAAACAGTCTCAACAAGTTTTAAAGAATCAAAATTATATTAAGTGTCTTCTCAGACCACAGTGGAATAAAACTAGTTATCAACACCAACAGGAACTTTGGAAACTATACAAATGAATGGAAATTAAACAACATGCTCCTGAATGACCAATCGGTGAAGAAATAAATTAAGAGTAAAATTTTTAAATTCCTGGAAAAAATGAAAATACAAATACACATACCAAAACCTGTAGGATACAGCAAAAGCAGTATTAAGAAGCAAGTATATAGCAATAAATGCCTACATCAAAAAACTAAAAAGGTCTCAAACAACCTAACAATGTTCCTCAAAAAACTAAAAAAGCAGGAACAAACCATACCCAAAATTAATAGAAAGAAATAAATAATAAGGGCAAAAATAAATGAAACTGAGACTAGAAAAACAATAACAATACAAAGGATCAATGAAGCAAAAGTTGATTTTTTGAAAAGATAAACAAAACTAACAAATCATTTAATAGACTAAGAGAAAAGAGAGAGAACCCAAATAAATGAAATCAGAAACAAAAAAGAAGACATTACAATGTATACCATAGAAATACAAAAGATCATTACAGAATATTGTGAACAATCATATGCTGACAAACTGGAAAATCTGAAGGAAATGGATAAATTCCTGGAAACATACAACTTACCAAGATTGAACCAAGAAGAAACAGAAAACACAAACAGATCAGTAACAAGCAACAAAATCAAATAGTAATAAAAATCCTTCCAACAGAGAAAAGTCCAGGACCAATTGCTCCATTGCTTAATTCTACTGAACCTTTAAAGAATTATTACCAATTATTCTCAAACTATTCCAAAATATTAGATCAGAAGGAATTCTTCCTAACTCATTCTATGAGGCCAGCATAATCCTGATACCAACACCAGACAAGGACACAACAGGGCAATACCTCTAGTGAACATAAATGCAAAAATCCTCAGCAAATACTAGAAAACCAAATCTAACAGCACATCAGAAACATAATACCCCATGATTGAGTGGGATTTATACCAGGAATGCAAAGATGATTCAAAATATGCATATCAATAATTGTCACCCATCACATCAATAGAATGGAGGATAAAATACTATGATAATCTCAATAGATGCAGAAAAAGCTTTTTATAAAATTCAACATTTCTTTATTATAAAAACCCTTAATAAATTAGGTATAAAAGGAAAGTACCTCAACCTAATAAAGGCCTTATATGATAAATCCACAACTAATATCTTACTGAACTGAGAAAAGCTTAAAGATTTTCCTCTAAGAAGTATAACTGGGCAAAGATACCTACCTTCACCATTTGTAGTCAACATAGTGCTGGAAGTGCTAGTCAGAGCAGTCAGGCAAGAAAAAGAAATAAAAGGTATTGAAATTGGAAAGGAGGAAATCAAATTATTCCTGTTTGCAGATGACATAATCTTATATATAGAAAAACCTAAAGGGTTTTTTTTTTCTTAGAACCGATAAATGAATTCAGTAAAATTGCAGGATACAAACTTAATATACAAAAATCAGTAGCAGCTCTATACACAAACAGCAAACTAGCTGAAAAAGAAATCAAGAGGGCAATCCCATTTACAATAGCAAAAAATATATAAAATACCTAGGAATAAATTTAACCAAGAAGGTGAAAGACCTCCTCAAGAAAACTACAAAAAACTGATTTAAAATAAAGAAAATGAAGATGATACAAACAAATGGAAAAATATCCCATCCTCATGGAATGGAATAATTCATATAATTAAAATGACAATCCTAACCAATGCAATCTGCAGATTCAATCCAATCCCTATGAAAATACCAATGACATTTTTCAGAGAAATAGAAAAAAAAAATCCTAAAATTTGTGTGGAACCACAAAAGACTCCAAATGGCCAAAGCAACCCTGAGCAAAAAGAACAATGCTAGAGATATCACAATACCAGACCTCAACATATACTACAGAGCTATAGTAACCAAAACACATGGTATTGCATAAAAACAGACACATAGACCAATAGAACAGAGTAGAGAACCCAGAAATTAATCCACATATTTACAGCCAACTGATTTTTGACAAAGATGTCAAGAACACTCATTGGGACACCTCTTCAATAAATGATGCTGGGGGCTGGGTCCAATGGCTCACATCTATAATTCCAGCACTTTGGGAGGCTGAGGTGACCTCTCACCTCTTCCCTTGCTTGAGCCTGGGAAGTCAAGGCTGCAGTGTGCTGTGACTGCACCACTGCTCTCCAGCCTGGGCAACAGAGTGAGATTCTGTCTCAAAAAAATAAACGTGATGCTAGGAAAACTGGATACCAACATGCAGAATGAAACTAGGCTCCCACCACTCACCCTATACAAAAATTAACTGAAAATGGATCTAAGACCTAAATGTAAGACACACAACAATTAAACTACTGGAAGAAAACATAGGGGAAACACTTCAGGACATTGGTCTGGAAAAAGATTTTATGGATAATACCTTATAAGCACAGGCAACAAAAGCAAAAACAAGCAAATGGGATTACCAAACCAAAAAGCTTTTGCACAACAACAGAAACCATCAACAGAGGGAAAAAACAACTTACAGAATGGGTGAAAATATTTTCAAACTACTTATCCAACAGGAAATTTATATCCAGAATATATAAAGAACTCAAACTTCTTAACAGTCAAAAAACAATCTGATTTAAAAATGGGCAAGTGACCTGAACAGACACTTCTCAAGAGAGGACATATAAATGGCCAACAGGTATAATTTTAAAATGCTAAACATCACTAATCATCCAGGAAATGCAAATCAAAACCACAGTGAGGTATCATCTCACCCCAGTTAGGATGGCTATTATCAAAAAGACAAAAAATAACAAATGCTGACAAGGATGTGGAGAAAAGGGAATTCCTATACACTGCTGGTGGAAATATAAACTAGTACAGCCACTATGAAGAGCACTATGGAGTTTCCTCAAAAAAAAAAAACTACAAATAGATCATATGGGAACATATGATCCAGCAATCTCACTAATAGGAATTTATCCAATAGAAAGGATATAATTATATCAGAGAGACATCTGCACCCTGATGTTTATTACAGCACTATTCACAATAGCCAAGATATAAAATCAACCTGGGTGTCCAACAAGATATAATTGGATGAAGAAAATGTAGTGTGTATACACAATGGTTTACTATTCACCTATATAAAAGAATGAAATCCTGTCATTTGCAGCAACATGGATGAAACTGGCAAACATTGCATTAAGTGAAATAAGCCAGAAACAGAAAGTTAAACCCTGCATGTTCTCATTCATATATGGAAGCTAAAAAAAAGTTGATCTCATAGAAATAAAAAGTAGAACAGAGGATACTAGAGATTAGGAAGGGTAGGGGGAAGGAAGGGATAGAGAGATTTGTTAAATGATACAAAATTACAGCAAGCAAGCGTTCAATTTAGCTGACTAGATGCAGCTAGAACACACCTCTTCTTTGGAGATGAGCCAAAATAACAAGTAGATATTCATACTTCAAATAGATTATCTATGAGAGAACAATGTAATTCAAAAGAGAAGTGACAGGAAGCACCAAAAGCAAAGAAAAAGAGGGAAGCAAGACAGCCTGCTCAGCCAGGATCAGCTAGGAGCTGAGATAAGCTCCCACACACTAGAGAAAGGGTGAGAGGCCCTCAGGGCTCCACATTCCTCTGAGAACTAGAGAAATGTTCGCAGCCACCACTGCCCCTACCTGAGGATTCTGCTGGTGGCCTGGAGACCACCCAGCCCTGTCTATCACAGCTGGCCCCTGAATGCAATACTCAGGGACTTGAGGACAAGTCTACTAGCCCAATCCTGTCCCCCCAGTACTCAAGCATGCCATTCAGGGGCCTGGAGATCTTCTGGCCCAGTCTACCATCATTGGCACTTGAACACTCCTCCCAGGATCTGAAGTCAGGCCAACCCAATCTGTCAATACTACCAAAGACAGTACCTACCTGTACATGCCACCAATGGGCTATGGAACTGGCCCACTTAACCTGTCACAGCCACCACCAACACCAGCACAGACTACTTGGGTTTCAGTGAGTTGTTCCTCTACTGCTACTGCCACCACCCACATTAGCCTCTCTGCCCAGGGGCCCAAAAACCTGTCAACATGCCCAGCCCACCACTGTCTCTACTGGCATCACAGCAAGCCACCTGGAGGCCCAGTAATCAGCCTCCCTGGACCCACTAACACTAATGCTAGCATAAGCTGCCTTGGGAACCAATGACAGCATGCTCAGCCCCCTGCTGCCAAAACTGGGGCCCAAAGGCTAGCCCACCTGGCATCCTAGTCCCTAGCAAAAACTTCACCACAGCCTCCACTAATAACTGCACCCTAAGTCACTGAGGAAATCACAGATACCACTGATTGTATTTACAACTGAAAAAAACCATAGAAAGATTATACCAGTGCACTCACCCAAAATCAAAGCCAAAGTGCCCTACCCGCCGAAAACACATATACATCCTGAATAAATACTCCTCTATGAAAGCAAATACAAAAAATTGGAATAAGCAACTGTTACACTAGGTGCACAGATGTCAATGTAAAGGCACAGGAAACATGAAAAAGTAAAGGAATCTAAATGTTTTCTTGGACTGTTTGTTTTTACATAAAAAAAAGAAAAAGTAAAGGAATCTGATACTTCCAAAGGAACACAATAAATCTCCAACAGCAGATCCCATAAAAGAAATTATGAAATCCCAGATAAATAATTCAAAATACAGAGTTTAAGAGAGCTCAGAGAGATGTGAGATAATTCTGAAAAACAATACACAGAAATAAAAAAACAATTCAGGATATGAATGAGAACTTTACTGAAGAGATAGTTTTTTTTTTATTCTGGAACTGAATAATTCATTGAATTAAATACAAAATACATTTGAAAGCTTCAATAGTCTAGATCAAACAGAAAAAAGAATTTCAGAACTTGAAGACAAGTCTTTTGAACTAATCCAGGCAGATTAAAATAAAGAAAAAATTAGAAAGAATAAGCAGAGCTTTTGTAACCTTTGGTACAACATAAAGTGAACAAATATTCAAATTACCACTGTCCCTGAGAGTGAAGAGAAAACAAAGGGTTAGAAAACTTATTTAACAAAATATTAGTTGAAAACTTCCCAAATCTAGCAAGAGATCTAGATATCCAGATGGAGGAGGCCCAAAGATTCCCTAACAAATATAATGGAAAAAGATCTTCTCCATGGCATATTGTAATCAAACTGTCTAAAGTCAAAGCAAAGTATAGAATACTAAAAACAGTAAGAGAAAAGCAACTAGTCACCTATAAAGAAACCCATATCAAAACCTTGCAGGCCAGGAGAGAATGGGATAACATATTGAAAGTGCTGGGAGAAAAAACCTGCCACCCAAGGACACTACATCCAGCAAAATTCATAAATGAAGGAGAAACAGTTTTTCCCAGACAAGTAAATTCTGAGGGAACACACCACAAGACCAGCCCTACAAGAAATGTCCAAGGGAGTCCTGAACTTGGAAGTGAAAGGACATTTACCATAATAAAAACACACAAAAGTATAAAACTCACTGGTAAACCAAATACATAAATGAGGAAGAGATAGGACTTAAGTGGTACCACTACAGTAAACCACCAAACCACAATTACTATCAACAAGAGGGAAGAAAAGAACAAAGAATATACAAAACAACCAGAAAATAATTAACAATATGACAGTAATAAAACCTCCATATCAATAATAGCCTTGAATGTGAATGAATTAAATTTTCCACTTAAAAAATATAGACTGGCTGAATGGATAAAGAAACAAAATCCAACAAAATAGTGCCTACAAGAAAGAAACATCTACACTCAAAGGAATGGAAAAAGATATTCCATGCAAATGGAAACCAAAAGCAAGCAGAAGTAGCTATACTTATATCAGATAAAATTAAGTCAAAAAGAGTAAAAAGGGCTGGGTGTGGTGGCTCACGCCTGTAATCCCAGCACTTTGGGAGGCTGAGGTGGGCAGATCACTTGAGGTGAAGAGTTCAAGACAAGCCTGGCCAACATGGCAAAACCCCATCTTTACTAAAAATACAAAAAAAAAAAAAAATGTGCCGGGCATAATGGCAGGCATTTGTAATCCCAGCTACTTGGGAGGTTGAGGCACTGGTATAAAAACAGACACATAGACCAATGGAACAGAATAGACAGTCCAGAAATAAATCCACACATTCACAGCTAACTGATTTTCAATAAAAGCTTCAAGAACATACACTGGGGGAAAGATACCCTCTTCAATAAATGATGTTGGGAAAATTGGATATCTGTATCCAGAAGAATGAAACTGGACCCTTTTCTCTCCCCATACACAAAAATCACTGAAGATGGATTAAAACTGTAAACATAAGACCCGAAACTATAAAACTGCTAGGAAAAAACATAGAGAAAATATTTTAAGACATGAGTCTAGGCAAAGATTTTATGGCTAAGACCTCAAAAGCACAGAAACTATAACAAAAATAGACAAATGGGACTATATTGAACTAAAAAGCTTCTACACATCAAAGGAAACAATCAACAGAGTGAAGAGACAACTTACTGAATGGGAGAAAATATTTGCAAACTATTCATCTGACAAGGGACTAATAGCCAGAATATACAGGAATATCAAACAACTCAACAATAATAAAAAAACAAATAATCTCATTTAAAAGTGGGCAAATGACATGAATACATATTTCTCAAAAGAAGACATACAGACTGGGCATGGTGGCTCACATCTGTAATCCCAGCATTTTGGGATGCCAAGGCAGGAGGATTACTTGAGGTCAGGAGTTTGAGACCAGTCTGAGAAATATACTGAGACCCTGTCCCCACAAAAATTTAAAAAATTAGCCAGGCATGGTGGTGCGCACCTGTAGTCCCAGCTACTCAGGAGGCTGAGACAGGAGGATCACTTGAGCACAGGAGTTTGAGGTTACAGTGAGCTATGATCCTGCCACTGCACTCCAGCCTGGGTTACAGAAAGAGACTCTGTCTCAAAAAAAAATTAAATTAAATTAAATTAAAAAATAAAAAGACTACAAATGGACAGCAGGTATATGAAAAAATGCTCAACATCACTAAGCATCAGGGAAATGCAAATCAAAGCCACAATGAAATATCATCTTACCCCCATGAGAATGGCTATTAATAAAATTACAAAAAATAACAGATGCTGGTGAGGATGTGGAGAAAAGGGAAATCTTATACACTGTTAGTGGGAATGTAAATTAGTACAACCACAATGGAAAACAGTATCAGGATTTCTCACAAAACTAAAAGTAGAACTACCATATGATCGGGCAATCCCACTACTGGATATTTGTCCAAAGGAAGTCTGTATACCAAAGGAATGCCTGCACTTGCATGTTTATGACTGTGCTATTCACAATAGCAAAGATATAGAATCAATCTGTGTCATCGATAGATGAATGAATATAGAAAATGTGACATACATGTATGCGTATATATATATATATGTACACACACACACACATACACACATATACAAGTCAAATGTGATTTGGACATAAGAAAGAATGAAATTATGTCATTTGCAGCAACATGGATGGAGCTAGAGGTCATTACTTTAAATGAAAAAACTTAGACACAGAAAGACAGATACCTCATGTTCTCACTCATATATGGGAGTTTAAAAAAATTGATCTCCTGGAGACAGAGAAAAGAATGATAGATAACAAAGGCTAAGAAGAATGTGTGGGTGGGAGGGAGGATAAAGAGAGATTTGTTAACTGGTACAAACATATAGTTAGATAGAACAAAGAAGCCCCAGTATTCTCTTGCACAGTAGGGTGCCTATAGTTGGCAACAATGCATTGTACATTTCAAAGTAGCTAGAAGAGAGGATTTGAAATGTTACCAATACATAGAAATGATAAATACTCAAGGTGATAGGTACCCCAAATACCCTGACTTGATCATTACACATTCTATGCATGTAAAAAATACATGTGCAGAACAAAGACCCACCCGTAACATTTGGTGGCAACCATACAGGGATTCTCCAAAGCAGTGAGTAATATTGTACCACTTTTGCTTGCTATTCTGTCCTATCCTTCCTTAGAACTGGAGGAAAATACTGGGCACCTGTTGGCCAGTTAAAAATGATTAGCATGGCTGCTGGACTTAAGACTCAAGTGTGAGGCTTCCTGGGAAAAGGCTTTCTAACAACCCCCAACCCTTCTGGGTTGGGAGCACTGGTCTGCCTGGAACCAGCTTCTGCTTTCACAATTTCCTGGGGGAAGCCAAGGGCCGACTAGAGGCAGAAAGCTGTCATCCTGAACTCCTGGCATTGGCCAGTCGAGATCATGGCACAGCCAGAAGTCTCTACTCAACAGTTGCCCATGCATGCGCCCCTACCTCTCCTTCTGACCCATACCTCCTGGGTCCTGACCATGACTTTCTTGAAAGTGTAGCCCCAAAATTCTCCTTACCTCTGAATCTACTTCCTCCGATCCCTGCCTCCTAGGTACTAATGCTTCAGACTTTCATTTCCTCTCCAAGTATTAGAGCAAGTTATATCTCCAAAGGGATCTAAGGAAGCTCTACACTGCATCCTTAGGCATGTAGACTATGAACCCAGGGAGTCTTACCCCTGGTGTCCCTCCCAATTTAGGCATACAGCTCTAGACATGGGCAGTTACGTGGGAACTATTCCCCACTACCCTTGCCAGAGCCCCAAGTTTGTAAATGGCTAGTGTCTCACATGTCCGTGTAAAGAGACCACGAAACAGGCTTTGTGTGAGCAACAAGGCTGTTTATTTCACCTGGGTGCAGGCAGACTGAGTCCGAAAAATGAGTCAGTAAATGGTGGTGAGATTATCATTAGTTCTTACTGGTTTGGGATAGGTGTACAAAGTACCTTCTTAAGGGCAGGGGGAGAATATTACAAAGTACCTTCTTAAGGGTGGGGAAGAATATTACAAAGTACCTTCTTAAGGGTGGGGGAGAATATATATTTTCAGTTAGGGTAGGGCAGGAACAAATCACAATGGTGGAATGTCATCAGTTAAGGCTATTTTCACTTCTTTTGTGGATCTTCAGTTGCTTCAAGCCATCTGGATGTATACACGCAGTTCACAGGGGATATGATGGCTTAGCTTGTGCTCAGAGGCCTGACATTTCTGTCTTCATATATTAATAAGAAAAACAAAACAAAATAGTGGTGAAGTGTTGGGGCAGCAAAAATTTGGGGGGGTGGTATGGAGAGATAATAGGTGATGTTTCTCAGGGCTGCTTCAAGTGGGATTAGGGGCGGTGTGGGAACCTAGAGTAGGAGAGATTAAACTGAAGAAAGATTTTGGGGTAAGGAGTGATATTGTGGAGTTGTCAGAAGAAGCATTTGTTGTATAGAATTATTGGTGATGGCCTGGATGCGGTTTTGTATGAATTGAGAAACTAAACGAAAGACACAAGGTCTGAATAAGAGAAGAAGAAAAACAGGTATTAAAGGACTAAGAATTGGGAGGACCCAGGACATCCAATTAGAGAGTGCCCAAGGGTGTTCAGCATAATTATTTGTTTGGTTGGTGAGTTTTGGGCGGTTTTTTGGTGAGTTTTTATATCCTTGAGTTTTTTTATGTTGTCATATGCCAGGCCAGATTGATTTAGGTAAAAACAACATTCTTAATTTAAAAATACACAGAATCCTCCTTTTTCAGCAGTGAGTAAATTGAGGCCTCAGTGATTTTGGAGGAAAGAGAAATGCAAAGCCAGCAATTGTTTGTTAAAGAAGGATTAGAAATGGCTAGGAGAGAGTGAGTGAGATTGATAGTGTGGTGGAGATAGCTGAGGAGAGGTAGAGGGTGGCATAAGAATGGGAATGAGAATAAGAGTGAGTATAAAAGTAAAGAATAGGACTTCATCAGGGTGAAAGTGTTGGAGTGTGTCCTGTCAGCAAAGATCATCTATCCACTCCAAGAGGGAGTCAAGAGTGGAGGACTGGGGATAGATATTCATGATGGAAAGGAAATGAGAGGTTTTAAGAGAGGAGCTAACAGTGTGTAACCTACATGGAAGAGGTTATGAAATGATGACAGAATAGAATGGGCCTGTGAGGCTGGAAGGAGGTATTTTCCTTGGTCCAAGAACCATTTGCCTTGTGTGGGAAGAGATTGATAGGTGGAAACTTCAGTAGGAGAGTAAATAGGAGTGACCAATTAGAAGGAGAAAAACTGGCCATGAAGGATGGAAGTTGGAATGCTGGCTGCTTCTTTAGCTACCTTATCAGCATAAGCGTTGCCCTCAGTGATAGGATCTGATGCCTTTTGGTGGCCCTTGCAGTGTATGACTCCAGCTTCCTTTGGAAGTAAAGTGGCCTTCAGAAGAGTTTTTATTAAAGAGGCATTAATGATGGAGGACCCTTGCATAGTGAGGAAACCTCTTTCAGCCCATATAACAGCAAGGTGGTGCAGGATATGGAAGGCATATTTAGAGTCACTATAAATATTGACACAAAATTCCTTTGCAAGAGTGAGGGCTCAAGTTAAGGCAATGAGTTCAGCTTGCTGAGAGGTAATGGAGGGGGGCAGAGTGGTAGCCTCAATGATAGATGTGGAAGATACTCTAGCATAGCCTGCCTTTGCTGGTGAGTGGAGATTAGGCCTGGTGGAACTGCCATCAATAAACCAAGTGTGATCAGGGTGAGGAACATGAAAGAAGGAACTACAGGGAAATGGAGTGAATGTCAGGTGGATCAGAGAGATATAGTCACTGGGGTGGGGGCCAGCCTAAAACAGTAAGGTCAAGTTGTATGAACAGAAAGCCTACAGGGCATGGTCCTGGCTCTTGTGTAAGAATTTTGACCGCACAGCCCTGTACCTTGCCTGTGTGTAATGAAAAGGGTTGGGATGAGTTAGGGAAAGCCAGCATTGGGGCAGCTTCTGGGGCTGTTTTTAAGGAACAGAAAGAGGAGCGGCAAAAGGATTTAGGATCTATGGGGTCAGCTAGGTTTGCTTTTGTGAGTTTACATAATGGTTTAGTCAGGATGGTAAAACTAGGTATCCAAAGGCGGAAGTACCTAACCATGCCTAGGAAGGAAAAGAGTTGTTGTTTTGTAGAAGGGGTTGGGTTTGGGAGATTAGCCAGACACAATCAACAGGGAGAGCACATGTGTTTTCATGAGGAATTATGCTGAGATAGGTAACAGATGAGGGAGAAATTTGGGTTTGACTGAAGTAATGGGGGCTGTCCGCGAAGCCTTGCGGCAGTACAGCCCAGGTAAGTTGCTGAGGCTGATGGGTGTCAGGGTCAGTGCAAGTGAAAGCAAAGAGAGGCTGGGATAAAAGGTGCAATGGAACAATAAAGAAAGCATGTTTGATATCCAGAACAGAATAATGGGTTATGGAGGGGTTGTGGAAGGAGGCATTGAGGATAGGAGAGTATATGGTTTTGACACCATGGAGTGGACAGGCAAGACAATTTGGTTGATAAGGCACAGATACTGAACTAACCTATAAGGCTTGTCTGGTTTTTGGACAGGTAAAATGAGGGAATTGTAAGGAGAGTTTATTGGCTTTAAAAGGCCATGCTGTAACAGGCAAGTGCTTTAATCCATTTAAAGCATGCTGTGGGATGGGATGTTGGCATTGAGTGGGGTAAGGGTGATTAGGTTTTAATGGGATGGTAACGGGTGCATCATCCATTGCCAAGGAGGGAGTAGAGGTATCCTATACTTGTGGATTAAGGTGGGGATATACAAGGAGAGGATGTGAAGAAGGCTTTGAACTGGGACAAAAGGCAGCAATGAGTTGTGGCTATAGCCCAGCAATAGTCAGGGCAGCAGATAATTTAGTTAAAATATCTCCACCTGATAAGGGAGCTGGGCAGGTGGGGATAACTAAAAAGGAGTGCATTAAAGAATGTTGTCCAAGTTGGCACCAGAGTTGGGGAGTTTTAAGAGATTTAGAAGCCTGGCCGTCAATACCCACAACAGTTATGGAGGCAAGGGAAACATGCCCTTGAAAAGAAGGTAATATGGACTTGGTAGCCTCTGTATTGATTAAGAAGGGGATGGACTTACCCTCCACTGTAAGTTACCCAAAGCTATGAGTAACTTAGCTTTGAGTCACTATGTCACTATCTGAGGGGTCTTAGAACAGGCAATCTCCAGGCCTTGGCTCCTTGTCCAGGGCCTTAGAACTGATGACCCAGTACTTTAACAACTGGAACTGGGTCTATGACAACAGATCAGGATGAAAGCAAATGGAGTAAATAAAAGGGAGGCACATATTCCTATAGTGGCAAATGGGGGTAATGAGTGAACGTTCTTCTGCTGTGTTCCCAAAACCCATCTATAAAAAGAGAAAGAGAGAGAGAGGAAGAGACAGAGAGACAAAGAGGGAGTCAAAGAGAGGAGAGAGAGAGAGACAGAGACAAAGAGGGAGTCAGAGAGAGAAAGAGAGAGACAGAAAGTCAAAGAGAGAGAGAAAGAGATATACAAGTAAAGAAAAAACAGTGTACCCTATTGCTTTAAAAGCCAGGGTAAATTTAAAACCTATAATTGATCATTGAAGGTCTTCTCCAGGACCCTATAACACTCCAATACCAACTTGTCAGTGTAAACAAGGGTGTAGCCCGAAAACACTGAGACCACTGACAACCTGTAGTCTTCCTATCAAAAATCCTTTAACCCAGTAACCTGCGGATGGCCCAAATGCATTCAATCAGTAGCCGCTACTGCTTTGCTAACAGAAGAAAGCAGAAAAATGCTTTTAGAGGAAACCTCACTGTGAGCACACCTCACCAGTTCAGAACTATCCTAAGTAAAAAAAGCAGAAAGGTAGCTTACTAACTCAAAAATCTTAAAGTATAGGGCTATTCTGTTAGAAAAAGATGACTTAACATTAACCACTGAAAATTTCCTTAACCCAGCGGGTTTCCTAACGGGGGATTTAAATCTTAATTACCATACAAAGGTCCGACCAGACCTAGGAGGAACTCCCTTCAGGACAAGAGGATAGATGGTTCCTCCCGGGTGATTGAAAAAAAAACACACACGCACAGTGGGTATTCAGTAATTGATAGGGAAACTCTTGTAGAAGCAGAGTTAGGAAAATTGCCTAATAATTGGTCTGCTCAAACATGTGAGCTGTTTGAACTCAGCCAAGCCTTAAAGTACTTACAGAATCAAAAAACTCTATCTCAATCTTGACTCAAAAGGTTACCTACACCCGCTCTGAAACAAATTTGCATAAGAACTGTTGTTTATGGGAATGCCTCTTGATGGGGCAGCTGGGTTGTTAGGAAATAGGAACCCAGCCCAGCTCTAGAACTCACCCCTGAGCATAAAGGCAATGTTGGGCACACTGGTAAAGGGCCACTAGAATCCAGCAGCCCAGACCTCTTTCTTTGTGGTCAAGAAAGGCAGGAAAACAGGTGTAGGGCTGCTACATCAGTGAGCATAACTAATCTGATAAGCAGAGGTCCACGGGTGGTTATGCACCCTGGAAAGGAATAAGCATTAGGGCCTTAGAGGATGCTCTCAGACAAATGCTCATTGGAAAATGACTAGGGGTGCTGGCATCCCTATGTTCTTTTTTCAGGTGGGAAATGTTCCCCACACGGCAAAAATGCACCTAAGATGTATTCTGGAGAATTTGGCCCAGTCAGAGTGTATGTACCTTTTTCCCTCTCAGACTTGAAGCAAATTAAAATAGACCTAGGTAAATTCTCAGATAACCCTGATGGCTATATTGATGTTTCACAAGGATTAAGACAACCCTTTGATCTGACATGGAGAGATATATATATAATGTTACTGCTAGATCAGACACTAACCCCAAATGAGAGAATTGCCACCATAACTGCAACTCCAGAGTTTGGCAATCTCTGGTATCTCAGTCAGGTCAATAATAGGATGACAACAGAAGAAAGAGAACAATTCCCTACAGGCCAGCAGGCAGTTCCCAGTGTAGACCCTCATTGGGACGCAGAATCAGAACATGGAGATTGGTGCTGCAGACATTTGCTAACTTGTCTGCTAGAAGGACTAAGGAAAACTAGGAAGAAGACTATAAATTATTCAGTGATGTCCACTATAACACTGGGAAAGGAAGAAAATCCTACCGCCTTTCTGGAGAGACTCAGGAAGGTATTGAGGAATCATACCCTCTGTCACCTGACTCTATTGAAGGCCAGCTAATCTTAAAAGATAAGTTTATCACTCAGTCAGTTGCAGACATTAGAAAAAACTTCAAAAGTCCACTTTAGGCCTGGAGCAAAACTTAAAAACCCTAATGAACTTGGCAAACTCGGTTTTTTATAATAGAGATCAGGAGGAGCAGGTGGAATGGGACAAATGGGACAAAAAAAAAAGGCCATGGCTTTAGTCAGGGCCCTCAGGCAAGCAGACTTTGGAGGCTCTGAAAAAGGGAAAGTCTGGGCAAATTGAATGCCTAATAGGGCTTGCTTCCAGTGCGGTCTACAAGGACACTTTTAAATAGATTGTCTGAATAGAAATAAGCCACCCCTTTGTCCATGCCCCTTATGTCAAGGGAATCACTGGAAGACCCACTGCCCCAAGGGACCAAGGTCCTCTGAGTCAGAAGCCACTCACCAGATGATCCAGCAGCAGGACTGAGGGTGCCCAGGGCAAGCACCAGCCCATGCTATCACCATCACAGAGCCCTGGGTATGCTTGACCATTGAGGGCCAGGGGGTTAACTGTCTCTTGGACACTGGTGCAGCCTTCTCAGTCTTACTCTTCTGTCCCAGACAACTGTCCTCCAGATCTGTCACTATCTGAGGGGTCCTAGAACAGGCAGTCACTAAATACTTCTCCCAGACACTAAGTCGTGACTGGGGAACTTTACTTTTTTCTTATGCCTTTCTAATTTTGCCTGAAAGCCCCACTCCTTTGTTAGGGAGAGATATCCTAGCAAAAGCAGTGGCCATTATACATTAGAATTAAGAGAAGGAAAAGGGGTAAATATATACATAGAGTCTAAGTATGCTTACCTAGTCCTCCATGCCCATGCAGCAATATGGAGACAAAGGGAATTCCTAACTTCCAAGGGAACACCTATCAAACATCAGGAAGTCATTAGGAGATTAGTATTGGCTGTACAGAAACCTAAAGAGGTGGCAGTCTTACACTGCCGGGGTCATCAGAAAGGAAAGGAAAGGGAAACAGAAGGGAACTGCCAAGCGGATATTGAAGCCAAAAGAGCCACAAGGTGGGATCCTCCATTAGAAATGCTTATAGAAGGACCCCTAGTATAGGGTAATCCCCTCCAGGAAACCAAGCCCCAGTACTCAGCAGAAGAAATAGAATGGGGAAACTCACGAAAACATAGTTTCCTCCCCTCAGGATGGCTAGCCACCGAAGAAGGAAAAATACTTTTGCCTGCAGCTAACCAATGGAAATTACTTAAAATGCTTCATGAGACCTTTCACTTAGGCATTGATAGCACCCATCAGATGGCCAAATCATTATTTACTGGACCAGGCCTTTTCAAAACTATCAAGCAGATAGTCAGGGTCTGTGAAGTGTTCCCTGCCTTATCACCAAGCTCCTTCAGGAGAACAAATAGCAGGCCATTACCCAAGAGAAGACTGGCAACTAGATTTTACCCACATGCCCAAATCTCAGGGATTTCAGTATCTACTAGTCTGGGTAGACACCTTCACTGGTTGGGTGGACGCTTTTCCTTGTAGAACAGAAAAGACTCAAGAGGTAATGAAGGCACTAGTTCATGAAATAATTCCCAGATTCAGACTTCCCCGAGGCTTACAGAGTGACAATGGCCCTGCTTTCAAGGCTACAGTAACCCAGGGAGTATCCCAGGTGTTAGGCATACAATATCACTTACACTATGACTGGAGGCCACGATCCTCAGGAAAAGTTGAGAAAATGAATGAAACCTAATGCTAAATGATGAGTTAATGGGTGCAGCACACCAGCATGGCACATGTATACATATGTAACTAACCTGCACATTATGCACATGTACCCTAAAACTTAAAGTATAATAATAATAAAATTTAAAAAAATAAAAATAAAACATAAAAAAATATAAAAAAAAAACAGAAAAAAAAGAAAATGAATGAAACACTCAAATGACATCTAAAAACGCTAACCCAACAAACCCACCTTGCATGGCCTGCTGTGTTGCCTATAGCCTTACTAAGAATCCGAAACTTTCCCCAGAAAGCAGGACTTAGCCCATACGAGATGTTGTATGGACAGCCCTTCCTAACCAATGACCTTGTGCTTTACCGAGAGACTGCCAACTTAGTTGCAGACATCACCTCCTTAGCCAAATATCAACAAGTTCTTAAAACACTACAGGGAACCTGTCCCCGAGAGGAGGGAAAGGAATTATTCCACCCCGGTGACATGGTATTAGTCAAGTCCCTTCCTTCTAATTCCCCATCCCTAGACACATCCTGGGATGGACACTACCCAGTCATTTTATCTACCCCAACCACAGTTAAAGTGGTTGGAGTGGAGTCTTGGATACATCACACTTGAGTCAAACCCTGGATACTGCCAAAGGAACCTGAAAATCCAGGAGACAATGCTAGCTATTCTTGTGAACCTCTAGAGGATCTGCGCCTGCTCTTCAAGCAACAACCGTGAGGAAAGTAACTAGAATCATAGATCCCCATGACCCTCCCTTGTCATATTTTTCTTTTTACTGTTCTCTTACCCTCTTTCATGCTCACTGCACCTCCTCTATGCCGCTGTACTACCAGTAGTTCCCCTTACCAAGAGCTTCTATGGAGAATGCGGCTTCCCGGAAATATTGATGCCCCATTGTATAGGAGTTTTTCTAAAGGAAACCCCACTTTCACCACCCACACCCATATGCCCCTGCACTTCAGGCCATACATTTCAATCCGTGTATCTTTAACCTCCTTGTTAAGTTTGTCTCTTCCAGAATCGAAGCTGTAAAACTACAAATGGTTCTTCAAATGGAGCCCCAGATACAGTCCATGACTAAGATCTACTGCAGACCCCTGGACCAGCCTACTAGCCCATGCTCCGATGTTGATGACATCAAAGGCACCCCTCCTGAGGAACTCTCAACTGCACGACCCCTACTACACCCAAATTCAGCAGGAAGCAGAGCAGTCATCAGCCAACCTCCCCAACAGCACTTGGGTTTTCCTGTTGAGAGGGGGACTGAGAGACAGGACTAGCTGGACTTCCTAGGCCAACTAAGAATTCCTAAGCCTAGCTGGAGAAGGTGATCACACCCACCTTTAAGCACTGGGCTTGTAACTCAGCTCACACCCGACCAATCAGGTAGTAAAGAGGGCTCACTAAAATACAAATTAGACTAAAAGCAGGAGGTAAAGAAATAGTCAAATCATCTATCATCTGAGAGCACAGGGGGAGCAAAAATGATTTGGATATAAACCCCAGGTATTCGAGCCAGGAGTGGGCAACCCCCTTTGGGTCCCCTCCTTTTGTATGGGAGCTCTGTTTTCACTCTATTAAATCTTGCAACTGCAAAATAAAAAATTTTAAAAAGTGCACCAAAAATATGTAAAATATCTTATATCAATAAAAAATAAAATAAAATAAAAACTTTTGGAAAGCAAAATTATGGCTAGATAAGAGGAAAAAGTACTAGTATTTGATACCAAGGATCCCCAACCCCTGGGCCACAGACTGGTACTGGTATGTGGCCTGTTAGGAACCAGACCACACAGCAGGAGGTGAGCAGCAGGTGAGTGAGCAGCCCCCTGTCAGATCAGTGGGGTCATGAGATTCTCGTAGGAGTGCGAACCCTATAGTGAACTGTGCATGCAAGAGATCTAGGTTGCATGCTGCTTGTAAGAATCTAACTGATGATCTAAGGTGAAACCGTTTCACCCCGAAACCATTCCCCCTCCCCCACCCATTTTTGTCTTCCACCAGACTGGTCCCTGGTGCCAACAAGGTTGGAGACCACTGTTCTATAGCACTGTAGGAAGACTATAGTTAACAATAACGCGTTATATAGTTTCAAGTAACTAAAAGGAAGCTATTGAACGTTCCCAACACTAAGAAATGACAAATGTTTGAGATTATTGATATGCTAATATCCCTGATCTGATCACTATATATTATATGTATCAAAACATCACTATGTGGCCGGGCACGGTGGCTCACGCCTATAAACCCAGCACTTTGGGAGGCCAAGGCAGGCGGATCACTTGAGGTCAGGAGTTCAAGGCCAGCCTGGGCAACTTTGTGAAAATCTCTGCTGAAAACACAAAAGTTAGCCAGGTGTGGTGGTGTGTGCCTGTAGTCCCAGCCACTTGGGAGAATGAGGCAGGAGAATCGCTTGAACCTGGGAGGCAGAGGTTGCAGTGAGCTGAGATTGCACCACTGCACTCCAGCCTGGGTGACAGAGGGAGACTCTGTCTCAAAAAAAAAAAAAAAAAAAAGAATAATACTCTCCAACTCCATCCAGGTTGCTGCTAATGCCATTATTCTGTTCCTTTTTATGCCTAAGTAGTATTCCATGGTGTGTGTGTGTGGGTATAATATATATATATTACATTTTCTTTATCCACTCATTGCTTGATGGGCATTTAGACTGGTTCCATATTTTTGCAATTGCGAATTGTGCCACTATAAACATGCGTGTGCAAATGCCTTTTTCATATAATGACTTATTTTCCTCTGGGTAGATACCCAGGAGTGGGATTGCTGGATAGAATGGTAGATCTACTTTTCATTCTTTAAGTAATCTCCATACTGATTTCCATAGTGGTTGAACTAGTTTACATTCCTACCAGCCATATAAAAGTGATCCCTTTTCACCACATCCATGCCAACATCTGTGTTTTTAAATTATGGCCATTCTTGCAAAAGTAAAATAGTATCTCCTTGTGGTTTAGATTTGCATTTCCCTAATAATTAGTGATGTTGAGCATTTTCTCATATGTTTGTTGGCCACTTGTATATCTTCTTATGAATTGTCTGTTCATGTCCTTTACCCACTTTTTAATGAAATTATGTGATTTTTTTCTTGCTGATTTACAGAACAAACACAATACAAGTGTTTTTTCTTGCTAATTGTTTGAATTCCTTGTAGATTCTGGATATTAGTCCATTGTCAGATACATAGCTTGCAAATATTTTCTCCCACCCTGTGGGTTGTCTGTTTGCTCTGCTGATTATTTCTTTTGCTATGCAGAAGCTTTTCAGCTTAATTAGGTCCCATCTATTTATCTTCCTTTTTATTGCATTTGCTTTTGGGTTCTTGGTCATGAACTTTTTGCCTAAACCAATGTCTAGAAGAGTTTTTCCAATGTTATTTTCTAGAATTGTTATGGTTTCAGGTCTTAGAGTTAAGACTTTGACCCATTTTGAGTTGATTTTTGTATAAAGTGAGAGACGAGGATCCAGCTTCATTTTTCTACATGTGGCTTGCCAATTATCCCTGCACTATTTGTGGAATAGGGTGTCCTTTCCCCACTTTATGTTTTTGTTTGCTTTGTCAGAGATCAGTTGGCTGTAAATATTTGGCTTTGTTTCTGGGTTCTCTATTCTGTTCCATTGGAACAGAACACATGCCTATTTTAATACCAGTACCATGCTTTATTGGTAACTATAGCTGGGCGCTTGTCTCCCTTTTCTTTTTTGCAAAACCGCCACAGCTATCATTGCTTGCTCTCAGTGGTGGCTTTCTCTCCAGAGGTGGCTTCCGCATCTACAGACTATATAAAGACAAACAACACAGATTAAAAGCACAATCATTGAAATCACAGAGCCTCCAAGTGTCTTGATCCATTTTAGCAGGTTAATAGCTGCTAATCCGTCTGTAGCTCCTTCAAGCACTTCAGTTCCTGGCATTAGTGTCAGATGTATCTGAGAGGCTTGAAATACTTGTTCCTTTAGCTTTGCAATATCCAAAGATAAATTTCTAGTATGACCTTTTAAATATCTCTTAACTTTTTCCCACTCATGCTCTGTTTCATTACACAGATGAGGAGTAATGCAAAAATCAGAGGTATTTCAATCACATTGTAACTGCATTCTATATTCTAAACTAACTATATGATCTCCTAGCCACATTACAGTTTGTTGGAGATCATTAATTTGATCAGCTAGTTTCTGGTCTATATTATTTTGGTAATTCCACAGCAGAGTAGAATTTTTCTACCAATTATTTACATAGTCTGCTGTTTGTACTGTGGAATGCAAAGCAACTCCAGCTACTGCAGCAGTAGCTGTGACAGCAATCAATCCCATAATAATGAAAATTAAAGTAGCAATGAAATGCCGTGAGTGCCTCAAAATCTTTTGAAGAATTTCAGTAATAATATGCACAGAAGGAGAGGCTTCCCAGGGATGGGAAAGCTTCTCAGGTATCCATACTCCTTCTTGGGCTCTTACCATTAAAATAGAATGATCAGTGTTATATAAGGAAGAATTCACACAAGAAGACAATCTACATTATTGACAAGTCACATGATGATTAAAGAGATCAAGTTTTAAATCACCCACTACAAACAGGAAAGGTGATGGACACAACTCTGTATCCAGACTGAATCATTGTGAGCCAATTTTAACATGTAATTAGGATTATATTGGGTTGGCTTAGTATATTTCCCTTTCCAAATCTTTATCATTTTTTAGTGCTGTTAATATTTTCCATAATTCCTTATGTTTTGCCCCTACAGCAGGCCATATCGTTTGGGGCTGAGGTACCACTATACCACCACATGCCCAAATAATAGGATCTCTTGCTGTACTTCTTATAGTGTCCACCATCTGATTATTTTGTTTAGATGCAGGGTGACCATTACTTACAGATTGAGAGGTGAGCCTCATAAATGCCCCTTTAGGGGACCAATCAATAATGACTCCATATGAATCATTATGCAACACCTCTGCTTTCCATGTGACACAATCTTCCCAAGCAAATGCCTTCATTTTTTCTGACCATGTCTAGTCCACTTTACAGATAGGTTTCTGAGGGTGGTAAACTTCAGTTACAGAAGCATAATCATGGTGATAAATACTAAGACCAGAAAGCATATGTAATTGTGCTATGGAGATGTTACGTTCAGGCACTATTGCCAGCCAAGATTGATGACTGGGAGGTGAACACCCATTAGCTTTTCCTAACCAAATAGGTAAATGCTTAAATCCCAATGAGACGTTCATAATTGTTCCTTCCTCTTGGGGGTGAGATGGGCCTCTATCATCAGTAGAACCAGGCATCCAAAAACTATCATTAGTGTATACCTCCATTGGTCTTCTCCTTTGTCTCTGAGATGTTCATTTGTACCATCACTCATATCAGGAGCTCTGGCTCTTCCCAGAGCCCTCTCTTCCTGGTGTGGCTCATGATAGATCTCCAGATGTTTGGTGGGCACCCACACAGGTGCCTGATTGTTACCTGGAGAGACACAAGAAAATCCTCTTCCCCATATAATTATCCGCCCTTTGATTAAATTTAGTTAAAGGGCCAGGGAAGTTAGTATGTGCTCTCATATGAGTGCATAGAAAGGGGAATGCCTTTGTTGTACTGCTTGCTGTAGAGAATGAAATAAAACATTAAGTTGGTCTTTAGTCACATTTTGAATTAAGGCATGTTCAATATTTTGTGTGGCTTGCACTACATAGGCTGAACCAGAAACAATGTTTACTGGCTATTTAAAAGTTTTTAACACTGTTATCACAGCCATAAGTTCAGCCCTTTGAGCAGAAGCAAAGTCAGTTTGAAAAACTTGTTGAGGTCCCACAAATGAGGCCTTTCCATTACTAGATCCATCAGTAAAAACAGTAATGGCCCTTTCAATAGGGGTTTTTTGAGTAATGGAAAGCAATATCCATGATGTCAATTTAAGAAATTGGAATATTTTGGATTTAGGATAATGATTATCAAGAACACCAGTAAAACCTGCCATATTAATTTGCCATTCCTGGGAATTAATATAAGCCTGCTGAATTTGTTGTTTGTCTAATGGAACTATAATTTTATTTGGATTATATCCCATTAACTTTGTTGTGCGCAGCCTTGCTTGTCCTACTAGTACAGCAATTTAAGTACAGAGTGAGCATTTTAGTTGTATTGTGAGGTAGAAAAAGCCACTCAACCAAAGCATCCTGTTGAACAATAACACCTGTTGGTGAATGTTTAGTAGGAAAAACTAAAAACTGTAATGGCTGCATAGGGTTAATTAGAGTCACTTGTGCCTATTGAATTTTTTCTTCAATTAATTGAAGTTCTTCTAATGCCTCTTTGGACAGGGACCATTTGCAGTTAAGATCAGAATCACCTCGTAAGGTAGAAAAGAGGTGAGACATAGCATAAGTAGGAATGCCTAAAGTAGGATGAATCCAATTAATGTCTTCTAATAATTTTTGAAAATCATTTAGAGTTTTTAAATTATCCCTTCTAATTTGAACTTTTTGAGGCTTAATAGTACTTTATTCTACTTTCATTCCTAAATATTGAAAGGGAGTAGAAGTTTGAATTTTATCGGGGGCTATGATTAACCCTGCTGCAGTCACAGCCTTTTCTAACTGTTTGTAACATAGCATTAACTCCTCTCTAGTTTCAGCTGCACATAAAATATTATCCATGTAATGTATGATATAACATTTTTAAAATTGTTCTCTAACTGGCTTAATAGCTTTTCCAACATAAGTTTGACAAATAGTCGGGCTATTTAACATGCCTTGTGGCAGTACTTTCCAATGGTATCTGTCCACTGGTTCTTTGTTATTTATAGCAGGAACAGTAAAAGCAAATTTTTCATAATCTTGGGCAACTAAAGGAATGGTAAAGAAGTGATCTTTTAAATCTGTCACTATGAGAGGCCAGTATTTTGGGATCATTGTTGGAGAAGGCAGCCCTGGTTGCAGTGCACCCATGGGTTGAATTACAGCATTGACAGTCCTCAAATCTATTAACATTCTCCATTCCCCTGATTTTTTCTTAATAACAAACACAGGAGAATTCCAAGGGGAGAGAGCAGGCTCTATGTGTCCCTTTTGCAATTGTTCTTGTATCAATTCTTTTAAAGCCTCCAGTTTTTCCTGTTTCAGCGGCCATTGCTCCACCCAAACCAGTTTGGCAGTTAACCAAACAAGAGGAATGGGACCCGGAGGCTCAGCAATGGCCACCCCTAAAAATGATACCCTAATCCAGTTGTATCTGTTTGCCCTTTTAGTTCTAAAGGTTCTGTTTGGCCATTTTCATTTTTTCCCAGTCCCTTCCCTGGGAGATATCCCATTTTTCTCATCATTTGATTACTGTTATCACTATACTGATCCATAGGAATAGATATTTCAGCACCCCATTGTTGTAATAAGTTTCTACCCCATAGATTTACAGGAATAGGTGTAATAATAGGTTGAATTGTCCCTTCTTGGCCATCTGGCCCCTGGCATGGCAAAATTAAAGAACTTTGAAAAATTTCTGAGGCAGCCCCTACTCCAACAATACCAATGGATGCCTTTTGTTTTGGTCAATGTTGGGGCCATTGATTTAAACCAATAATAGAAACATCAGCTCCAGTATGTACTAGCCCCTCAAAATCTTTTCCTTGAATGGTTACTGTACAAATAGGTCTTTTGTCAGACACTTGATTAACCCAATATATAGCTTTTCCTGCTGGGTTAGTACTACCAAAGCCTCCTGTTCCTTTTACTGTAGTACTTCCTAGCTTTGTATAAGGTAACAGTAACAACTGAGCAATTCTTTCCCCTGGGGAAGCAGACCATGGAATTGAGGAACTAATAACTAACTGAATCTCTCAGGTATAATCAGAATCAATTATTCCTGTATGTACAGTGACACTTCTTAAATTTAAACTAGACCTTCCAAGCAATAGACCAACTGTTCCTGAGGGTAAAGGGCCCCTAACTCCCATGAGGACCTTCTTTGGTGGCTCCCCAGGAAGTAAGGAAATGGGAACTGTGCTACAAAGATCTACACAGTACTGCCTGCTGTGGTGGGATACAATTGTTGTACTTTTGTAAGGGCACTGGCTGTGCCAGATATGCCTCAGTTTGTTGAGGGGCCCGAGGTGGGCCCCTCTTCCCGTTTCCCAAAAGAGGTTGCCCATCTTTGCTAAATTTAGGATGACACTGATTTGCCCAGTGATTGCCTTTCTTACACCAGGGGCATACACCGGAACTTTTCTGTTGATTGATGGTAATAGTTTTTGCCTTTTGATTTCCTTTTCTACATTCCTTTTTTTGTGTGTCCAAATTGCCCACAATTAAAACAAGAGCCTGAGAAATGGGGCATATTTTTTCCCACCTTTAATCCAGCCATAGCTTGAGCTAAAAGAGTAGCCTTATGTAAATTACCCGCAATGCCATCACAAGCCTTAATATATTCAGCCAAATGAGGCTTCCCTTGCATAGGTCTAATGGCAGCTTGACACTCTGCATTAGCATTATCATATGCAAGAAGTTGTATTACCATGTCTTGAGCTGTTTTATCAGTTACAGCTTTACGCACAGCCTCTTGGAGCTGAGCAATAAAGTCAGTATATGGTTCTTTAGGTCCTTGTCGGACAGAACATCCCGATGGCAACATCCTCCATTACTGCTTAATTGTCTAATCATCCCCAATTAGGGCCCAACTCCATTAACCATTCAAAGGAAACAAGCACAGGTGGCTGTGTTTGTGTGTTTTCTCTTGCCTGAGTTTGAGCTTCATCAGCCCACCAGGTTTTAAACTGCAGGTACTGAGATGGAGTGAGAACAGACTTTGTTAAAGTATCCCAGTCATATGGTATTAATCTATTATCAAGAGCCACATTTTTTAGTAAAGTTTGTACAAAAGGAGAATTTGGCCCATATTGACTAATGGCTTGCTTGAATTCCTTTAACAACTTAAAAGGAAAGGTGGTCCAATTAGTTATATTCTGTCCTCCTTGCTGGATTATAGTAATGGGAAATTGCCATGCATCTAGGTCTCCTTCAGCTCTAACCTTCTGAATAGAATTTTGTATAGCATCACCAATTCCTCCAGGTTTTAATGTTGCAGCTACCAGAGCAGTAAGTTTTGCAGCTAATTCATTTTCTCGACCATTAGGGGGAGAGGAAGGAAGTGGCCATTCACTTAATTCAGCAGGTGGAACCAACGGGCTACTAAAATATATCTGTTTTAGTTTTCCTTTCTTTAATTTCCTCTGGTTGCTGTTCCCCACATTCAGAATCTGAAGTTAATTTTTTACACTCGTTTTCCTCTTCCTTATCTGAATCTGCCTCATCATTTGTTTGAAATGGCTCAAGACCTGCCTTTATCAATGCCCACACTGACCAAAAAGAAACTGGAATTTTGGCTCCTTCTTTATGCACCTTTTTTAGATCTCTGCCAATTCTTTCCCATTCATCGAACTCCATTGTCCCTTGTTCTAGGAACCACAGGCAAAACTGCTCCACTGTACTAAAGAGTGTTAATAAATTCTGAGTACTAACTTTCACTCCCCCTCTCCATAATAAATGCCTTAGAAAGTTTAAACAAGCAGAATGTTTACTTTCATTTTGTCCCATTGTTACCTTGGTTCTTCAGAGTGCCCAGCTTACCCACCAAGCTTCTTTCAGCCATCCTCGGGTGTCCTTTGATGATATGTCCTTCATTTCCATATACTCTAGCATTTCTTTACCATGGTCTTCATAGCCCCACGTTGGGTGCCTGAAATTTTGGGGTGATCAGGCCCAACACCAGGCCATCAGGCTACAAAGTCCGGTGGGGTGAAAGAAATGAGAAAAGACAAGTTAAAAGTGCATAAATTGGGTCCAGGGGGCCAACACTAGATTGGAGGCTGCGAAGGCCCTGAGCTCTGGGAGCCCACACTATTTATTGGAGACCAAACAAAGAAGCAGATGGTGAGGACGTGCAGATGTGGGGGTAAAGAGGTGAGGGCATGAGGACGTGGGGGTAGAAAGGTAGTGGTGCATTAAGCGTAGCTGTGATGGTTTAGCATTTTCTTTGATGCATATAGAATATGCTCTGCTGCTTGAGATAATGGAGGACATGTTTACAAGTAAGAAGCAAGGAACCAACAAGTCTGTGCACATTCCAGAGGCTACAAGGGGGTTTATGCCCTGAGCCCCGGATTCCATACAAGCCACAAGGGGTTTTATGCCCTGGGCTTAGATTTTGGCATGTCAGGGCAGCCTTCCACCCTTTGGCATAGAGCTTGGTGTTCCAAAGGCCACGAAGGGTTTTAGACCCTGGACCCCAGACATCTTCCAAGACTCTTTTACATTATGACAGACAAGCTAGTCCTGCCTCACCTCTTCTACCAGCATTGTTGTATAGTTTGAAGTCTGGTAATGTGATGCCTCCAGATTTCTTCTTTTTGTTTAGTCTTGCTTTGGCTATGCAGGCTCATTTTTGGTTCCATATGAATTTTAATATTTGTTTTAGTTCTGTGAAGAATGATGATGGTATTTTGATGGGAATTGCATTGAATTTGTAGATTGCTTTTGGTAGTATGCTCATTTTCACAATATTGTTTCTACCCATTTGTGAGCATAGGATATGTTTCCATTTGTTTGTATCATCTATGATTTCTTTCAGCAGTTTTTTGTAGTTTTCCTTGTAGAGATCTTCCACCTCCTTGGTTAGGTATATTCCTAAGTATTTAATTTTGTTGCAGCTGTTGTAAAAGGGGTTGAGTTCTTGATTTGATTATTAGTTTGGTTGTTGGTGTTGTATAGCCGTACTCCTGATTTGTGTACATTGTTTTTGTATCCTGAAACTTTACTGAATTCATTTACCACATCTAGGAGCTTTCTGGATGGGTCTTTAGGGTCTTCTAGGTATACAATTATGTCATCATATCATGTCATTATATCAGTGAATAGTGACAGTTTGACTTTCTCTTTTGCAATTTGGATGTCCTTTATTTCTTTCTCTTGTCCGATTTCTCTGGCTAGGACTTCCAGTACAATATTGAGTAGCAGTGGTGAAAGTAAGAATCCTTTTCTTGTTCCAGTTCTCAGAGGGAATGCTTTCAACTTTTCTCCATTCACTATAATGTCAGCTGTGTGTTTGTCATAGATGGCTTTTATTACTTTGAGTTATGTCCCTTCTATGCTGACTTTGCTGGTGGCTTTCATCATAAAGTGATGCTGGATTTTGGCAAATGCTTTTTCTGCATCCATTGAGATGATCATATAATTTCTGTTCTTAATTCTGCTTATGTGATGTATTACATTTATTGACTTGTGTATGTTAAACCATCCATGCATTCCTGGCATGAAATCCACTTGATCATGGTGTATTATCTTTTTGATATGCTGTTGGGTTCAGTTAGCTAGTATTTTGTTGAGGATTTTCACATCTATGTTCACCAGGGATATTGGTCTGTAGTTTTCTTGTTTTATTATGTCCTTTTCTTGTTTTGCTATTAGGGTGATACTGGCTTCATAGAATGACTTAGGGAGGATTCCCTCTTTCTCTATCTTATGGAATAATTTCAGTAAGATTGGTACCAATTCTTCTTTGAATGCCTGATAGAATTCAGCTGTGTAACCATCTGATCCTGGGCTTTATTTTGTTGGCAATTTTTTAATTACCATTTCAATCTCACTACTTGTTATTGGTTTGTTCAGAGTTTCTATTTCTTCCTGATTTAATCTAGTAGGGTTGCATATTCCCAGGAATTTATCCATCTCCTCTAGATTTTCTAGTTTGTGTGCATAAAGGTGTTCATAGTAGCCTTAAATGATCTTTTGTATTTCTATGGTATCAGTTGTAATATCTTCTGTTTCATTTCTAATTGAGCTTATTTGGATCTTCTCTCTGTTCTTGGTTAATCTCACTAATGGTCTATCAATTTTTTTTATCTTTTCAAAGAACCATCTTTTTGCTTCATTTATCTTTTGTATTGTTTTTTGTTTGTTTGTTTCAATTTCATTTAGTTCTGCTCTGACTTTTGTTATTTATTTTCTTCTGCTGGTTTTGGGTTTGGTTTGTTCTTGTTTCTCTAGTTCCTTGAGGTGTGATCTTAGGTTCTCTATTTGTGTTCTTTCAGACTTTTTGATGTAGGCATTTAATGCTATGAAATGTCGTCTTAGCACCACTTTTGCTGTATCCCAGAGGTTTTAACATGTTCTGTCACTATTATCATTCAGTTCAAAGAATTTTTTAATTTCCATTTTTATTTCATTGTTGATCCAAAGATCATTCAGGAGCAGATTATTTAATTTCCACATATTTGTATAGTCTTGAGGGTTCCTTTTAGAGTTAATTTCCAATTTTATTCCACTGTAGTCTGAGAGAGTACTTGATATAATTTTGATTTTCTTAAATTTATTGAGATTTGTTTTGTGGCCGATCAAATGGTCTATCTTGGAGAATGTTCCATGTGCTGATGAAAAAAATGTATATTCTGAATTGTTAGGTAGAATAGTCTGTAAATATCAGTTAAGTCCATTTGTTCTAGGGTATAGTTTAAGTTCATTGCACTCCAGCGTGGGTGAAAAGAGCAAAACTCAATCTCAAAAAAAAAAGACTCACTACTAAGATGGTCAATATCTCAAGCTCAGGCTTGGTCAGACCTATAACATGCTATCACAAGTATGTGTTAAAGGGCTATGCAGATGAGGGATGCATTAAATTTTGACCATAGGAGGCCTCATTAACCAAATTATATTAAATTATTATATTAAATTAGTAGGCCTCATTAACCAAATTATATTTAAATATTATATTAAAAAGTTCAGAGACATTTTTCTTTTTAAAAAGCCACACATCTAGTGTATGTGTTATGTGAACACAGATTATTCTGTTTAGCACAAGGTGCTTCTGCATGCAGGTGTAGATGTTCCCAGGGTCAATTATTCAAGTGACCTTAGCTACATAGGAGAAATAAATTTTATCTGTCTCTGGGCTTTTTGGAAGAATTCACATATAATTCTGTGGATACCCAAAAACTGAAGAAGAATATGGTTTTATCTTGTCACTTAGCTTATCTAGTTTACTGTCACTATACATTTCCTTTCCTATGTTTGTCTCCTATTTAGTAAAGACTTCCAGCCTTTTCAGCCTGGCCTCAGCTTGGCTACTGGGCATTAATCCCTGAGCCACTCATTTTTGTTTTTTCCTTCCTTCCTTTCTTTTTTTTTTTTTTTTTTTTTTTTCCAGAGACAAGGTCTTGCTCTCTCACTTACGCTTGAGCACAGTGGCACATTCATAGCTTACTGCAGCCTTGAATTCCTGGAATCCAGCAACCCTCCCACCTCAGCCTCCTGTAACTAGGACTACAGGTGCTCGCCACCATGCATGGCTAATCCCAGAGCCATTTGTCCCAGGGTGTTAGAGAGGGGGCTGCTTGCTGCTCCTAGGCCACCTTCTCCCACCTCTGACAACTTTGGAGGGGTTGTTTTTAATTAGATTTAGGAAGGTAATCTCATCACTCTCCATGAGATTTTCATAAGGGGAGGGAGGAGTTCCAAGAATCCTTTTTTCCTCTGACCCATCCTTCCTCAGCTCTGTACTCAATGGGTGGTAGGGATGAGGGAAAAAGACTGATGTTATAGCTCAAAGTTGTTGACTGCCTAGAGGCCTAGAAATGTGTTAGTAATGAATCTGGGGTAGGCCTGAGTACGTGGAGTGTATATGTACCGGTGTGTTTGGGTGTGTAAGGAGGTAGGGGTGGGAGGAGCATGGAACATAGTTCTGGGCAGTTGCACAAGTAGAAGGAAATCCTAGTTCTACTTTTTGATGATTTAACATTTATTGAATGACACATATGTAGGGCAAAGTTTGAGAGAGTTTATACTCTAATGCAATGGCTGGATGAACTCTCAATCGTTGCCCTACATATGGTGGCTTAGTTTTTCCAAGAGCAAATCTACAGTCTCTACTCTGCCCATGGGAATTAGATTGTCCTCTGATCAGTCACAAAATAAACTTCTTTATCACTTTGTAAAAGAACTGTGTCTCCATTGCTATTTCTACCACCCACCCCTTGCCCCTGATTTGCAGCTGACCTTTATGAATGTATTTTCCGAACTCAGCCAGGGCTGTAGTATTGGACTTCTCAGAGCTAAAAGTCACTGTTGGAATCTGGATGGCACCTGTCAGAGTCAAATGGTCAGAGATGAAAGACTGAACATGAATTAATCATTTTTTTTTCTACAGTCCTCTGTGCACAAAAAGTTCTTTTGCCTTCATTATCGTATTGCAGAGGGCAAAACACTAATATGAGGTAGGCACTATTGTTTTCTCTAATTCGAAGATAAGGGAAAAAGCTTGAGTCCAGGAGTTCAAGAGCAGCCTGGGCAAAATAGTGAGACCCTATCTCTACAAAAATAATAATAAATTTAAAAATAATAAATACATAAAATAAAAAGTATCTTTTTAAAAATTTTTAAAGTTTGGTAGAGATTAAGCTATTTTTTACTAAAAATTCATATATATATATATATTTATGACCTTGGACTAGATTTGTTAAGATTTTTTAAGCAAGAAAACATCACTAATTATAAAAGAATATAATAATAAATTCAACTATATTATTAAGACTTCAACCCATCAAAAGGCCATTAAAAAAATAAAAACACAAGACACAAATGAAGAGAAATATTTATAATTTAAATAAAACTGACAAAATTTTAGACTCCACAATATATAGAAACCCTTAAAATTCAATAAGAAGACAGCTCTAAACAAAAATGGGCAATAGATATGAACAGTCATTTTACCAGAGAAACATGAATGGCAAATAAGCATATTTAAAGATGTTTAGGCCAGGCATGGTGGTTCAGCCTGTCATCTCAGCACTTTGGGAGACCAAGGCAGGAGGATCATTTGAGGCCAGGAGTTCAAGACCAGTCTGGGCAACATAGAGAGACACTGTCTCTATAAAAAAACTTCTAAAAATTAGCTGAAGGTGTTGGTGTTCACTTGCAATCTTAACTACTCAGAAGGCTGCGGCAAGAGGATTCTTTGAGCTCAGGAGTTGGAGGCTGCAGTGAGCTATACTTGTGCCACTGAACTCCAGCCTGGGTGACAGAGCAAGACCCTATGATAAATAAATAAATAAATAAATAAATAAAGCTTAAACTCTTTAACAAACTAGAGAGTACAAAATAATACCACAAGGAGATATTTTCCAGGCACTAAATGGGCAAAATGAAGATATTGGAAATGCCAATGCCAAGAGCTAGTGAGAAAGTGAAGCAACAGGAACTTATATACTATGCACTACCTTGCTGATTAGTATAAATTGTTCCAATCACTTTGGAAAATAATTCAGCCTTCTCTTGTAAAATAGAACATACAGTACAACACAGCATTTTCACTCCTAGATATATATTCCAGAGAATCTCTTTTACCTGTGGCCCAGGAGACATGTACAATAATGTCAATAGACTGTAGCAAGATATAACAGCATGCATAAATCCCACAAACAGTGTTGGGTAAAAAGAGCAAATTGCAGAAGACTACACACAACATGATGTCATTTTTATAAGATATACACACACACACACACTATACATATATGTATATCATACATATGTTGTAGAACTATTTAAAACACACAACACGGTCATACAATTACCTTGGGCAGGGAGTTGGAAAATAAAGGCAATAGAACACATGCACCTTCAATGCTACTGATAATTTTCCATGATTGGCTAGATCTGGGAACAGTGTGGGAATTAGACAGATTGCAAGAATTGGAGCAGTGACAGGAGAAAAAATGCAGTTTGACCAGTTAGGTCTAAACTCCAAATCACGGGTGTTCATGTTATTATTTACTTTACATACACGTTGTACGTACTCTTAATTATCAAATATTATGTGATAAGATAATTTAAAGAATATTTAAGGACCAGGAAGTGTTTATGACATAATGTTAAAGGAAAAAAAGCAGAACATAGAACTTTGGATGCAGTATATGCATCTGTTTCATTTTAAAACAGGGACATCCTTCATTTGTGGGTATTTGTGTGCAGAGAAAAAAGATTGGATAACATCAAAATATGATGAGTGAACGTCTCTGGATATTGGGATAGCATGTGATTTTTTTCTTTATACTTAATGTTCCAAATATTTCACAAGGGCATAAATATACATGAATTTTACAATCATAAAAATTGTGCTGGGTGTGGTGGCTCATTCCTGTAATACTAGCACTTTGGGAGGCTTAAATGGGAGGGTTGCTTGAGTCCAGGAGTTCAAGAGCAGCCTGGACAAAATAGTGAAACCCTATCTCTACAAAAATAATAATAATTTTAAAAAATAATAAATATATAAAATAAAAAGTCTCTTTTAAAAAAATTTTAAAGTTAGGTAGAGATTAAGCTACTTTTTACTAAAAATTATGTCAATGTTCATGTTTAAATTTCAACTCTATTTTTAACATTCTAAATCTTAAACTAGGTGGTGAATCCAGAAATGTTCATTATGTTATTTTTTATATCTTTATAATATGTGAAGTATTTCATGATACTGTTTTAAAGTTGCTATTAAAAAGTAACTAGGCAGGGTGTGGTGGCTCACGCCTGTAATCCCAGCACTTTGGGAGGTCGAGGTGGGCAGATCACCTGAGGTCGGGAGTTCGAGACCAGCCTGACCAACATGGAGAAACCCCATCTCTACTAAAAATACAAAATTAGCCAGGCATGGTGGTGCATGCCTGTAATCCCAGCTACTTGGGAGGCTGAGGCCAGAGAATTGCTTGAAACTGGGAGGCGGAGGTTGCGGTGAGCCGAGATCGCCCCATTGCACTCCAGCCTGGGCACCGAGAGAGAAAAAAAAAGAAAAGAAAAGAAAAGTAACTACATGGCTGAATTTTTTTTTTTAAGCAAATCTTAAATGAAATGCAAACACCAGGACTGTGAACCTGTAGCTTTGGTCACAGGTAGCAATATGGCCTTACTGGTTGTATAGCACTTACTGAATTTTTCTTGAGAATTCTAAAATTTGAGAGTGATGCCAGATAAAATTGCATCAAGAAATCTGAAAGGAACGATTTATTCTGGCTTCAGGAAATCTGATTTTATATTTCTGTGACATAAGACAGGTTTTCTTTTTTCCAGAATGATCCTCTACTCTGAATAACCATAAAATTTCACTTGTGGAATACATCAAAATTATTTATACATCAAAATTCTCTTAAATATTTTATAGTAATCTTTCTAAAAATCCTTCAGTCTTACTGTACTTGTCTAGAGTTGCAAAAATGTAGTGTTAACATTAATATTAAAAGCACTTTCAATGAAATTTCTAAACAGGAGCCAACCCTCTGAGCTGGTATTTCAAAGCAGTATCTATAAACAGAGCAATTTGTTCCAATTTCAGATGAAATCAAGCTGGGAACCTAGAGAGCTCCCCCGCCCCAGGATCTAGGGAATTGTAGTCAGGTTCTAAGCTTCGGAAAAAACGAGCAGCAGAGTATGGTCTGATAAGCTTCGTGCATTTTATTTTGCTTTTCCTCCTTTATTTGATTTGTTGTCATACAGGAAAGGATTTATGGGTGAGAGATCAAGTGCGGACCAGACATGACTCTAGCCTGGAGCCCGACCTCACCTCTGCTCTGCAGGAACTGCTGGCCTCAGCACGAAAACCCACAACCCTCGAAAGGCCTTAAGGATCCTGGGCGGGGTCATTCTGTCAATTGGTTGTTCCGCTGTCCTAGCGAAGCGATGATTGGTCAGATCTGGATATGGGGTGTGGCTAAGGCTGTTTGCCGGAATAAGAGCAGAGCTAGGGCCAAGAAACGCTAGTCTGGGCGTTTAGGTCAGAACTACCCCGGTAGCCTGACAGCAGGAGCTCGAGAGAAGCATGGCTCAGCGGTGCGTTTGCGTGCTGGCCCTGGTGGCTATGCTGCTCCTAGTTTTCCCTACCGTCTCCAGATCGATGGGCCCGAGGAGCGGGGAGCATCAAAGGGCGTCGCGAATCCCTTCTCAGTTCAGCAAAGAGGAACGCGTCGCGATGAAAGAGGCGCTGAAAGGTGAACCCGGGTCCCCTTCACCCACCTATGCTCATATGTGGGTCCCTCCCTCCCCAGGTCAACCCGTGACTCCCCGCTTCCGCCGCAAAGCATCTGCTACTGCAGCTGGAGCCCCGACACGCACCCCAGCCCGGCCCCAACACCCTTCCCAGCACATCGTGCCCCTGTCTGGGGACGCCACACTTCCCCCATACCTGGCTCCTGGAACTCTGGTGTGCCCTGCCTAACCTGGAAGCTCCAACTTCACCCCTCTTGGCGTGACCACCGTCCATTCTTTCCCCTGCTTGCCTCGAGTATTACACCAGCTTTCATTTGTACATCAATTTTAACCTTTGAAAGTTTGCATGCCTGATAAATTACTGCGGTGTCGTAAAATAAGACAAATGATATTAGTCTTATCTACAAAGGAGAGAAATTGAGGCTTAGGTCAGCTAAATGATCTTCCCCAGGGCCCCACAGCAAAGAGTGGGCAGTGGGTGACAGCATCTAGTGCCTGTCGGACTCGCTGGGATCAGATGGCTCTAAAGAAAGGGAGTGGAGTGTTCCCGGGGTGTGGGATGTTCCTAATTCTCAATCATAATTGAAGAACATGTCTCCTCTAGATCTCTAATCCAGACCAAAAATTCATCCCTGTTCTGAATCTGCATTTTCCAGGAAACAGGAAAGTTTCTGTTGAGTGCTAGATCCTATGGGATGAAATCCTTCTTTACCATTCAGCTTAGCTCCAGTCTTTTCCCTTTCATTAAGTAATGGATTAAGAGAGACTGCCTGCATAAACATATAGAAGCAGATGCAGGGACCAAAAGCTAACCCCAATAGTTGGATATAGATTGTTCATATGCTAGAGTGACAAGCCTGGGAGGCAGAGCAGGGCTTTCCCAAAGCATAAATAATTCTCTAAAAGGCATTAGACAGCCACTCACAGTCTGCACAGAAGAGAACAAAAGCTACATAAGCTAGAATAGGGACCTCATAGCAACACAGCTTGGAACTCTGAGCAGGGGACAGAACACCTGAGATCAGATCCTTGGGTCTGCCCTTGAGTAGGCACTTGAATCTTTCTGAACCTCGGCTTCCCCATCTATCTGGTGGGCTATGCTATTGTAGGGTTGATCCTTAGCAAAACTGATGAAGTTTGTCTTTCAGAGACCCTTCCTGCCTCAGGTGAATTTGTTTGCACTGTGTTCTTGGAGAGCAGTCTAATTCAATATTCTCATGATTCATGCTTTCCCTCCCAGTGGTTTTGTCTTTGATCATGGAACTCTTTAAAACTGTAAAGTCTTAAAGACTCAAAGGGATGAGCCCAGTGAAGGTTCAGGAACTGAGACAACTGAGTAAGGAGGGTGAGATTATTTTAGGACTGAGGAGTTTGTTTGGAGGCTTCTAAATCCACCCCTTCCCAGGCATTATATGCCCAAAAAGCTGGTCTTGGTTGACAGACTAGTGAGACTCTGCATAAGGAATAAGCCTTTACATACAAAAACACACAAGCCTCATTGATGTAGGGACCCAGGACAGTGGGTGCCTTGAGAATGATGAAGCTTGGATTCATCAAAGCAATTGGTGATTTCAGAGGTAGTGAGGCCTTAGGAAGCAATTTATAGTAGCTTCCCTTCAAGACCAGGATCCAAAAATCCACTTCCCTCCAATCTTAGACTGTATTTGCCTTTAAGAACCATATCAGCCTAAACAAACCCAGAAGACATAGGTTTAAATCTATAGTCTGCCTGTTGCTCAGACAGCTCACCTAACCTCTCCAAGCATTTTCCCTCATCTTCGAATTAGAGGAAACAATAGCGCCTACCTCACATTAGTGTTTTGCCCTCTGCAATATGATAATGAAGGCAAAAGAACTTTTTGTGCACAGAGGACTGTAGAAAAAAACAATGACTAATTCATTTTCAATCTTTCATCTCTATTTGACTCTGACAGGTGCCATCCAGATTCCAACAGTGACTTTTAGCTCTGAGAAGTCCAATACTACAGCCCTGGCTGAGTTCGGAAAATACATTCATAAAGGTCAGCTGCAAATCAGGGGCAAGGGGTGGGTGGTAGAAATAGCAATGGAGACACAGTTCTTTTACAAAGTGATAAAGAAGTTTATTTTGCGACTGATCAGAGGACAATCTAATTCCCATAGGCAGAGTAGAGACTGTAGATTTGCTCTTGGAAAAACTAAGCCACCATATGTAGGGCAAAGATTGAGAGTTCATCCAGCCATTGCATTAGAGTACAAACTCTCTCAAATTTTGCCCTACATGTGTGTCATTCAATAAATGTTAAATCATCAAAAAGTAGAACTAGGATTTCCTTCTACTTGTGCAACTGCCCAGAACTATGTTCCATGCTCCTCCCACCCCTACCTCCTTACACACCCAAACACACCGGTACATATACACTCCACGTACTCAGGCCTACCCCAGATTCATTACTAACACATTTCTAGGCCTCTAGGCAGTCAACAACTTTGAGCTATAACATCAGTCTTTTTCCCTCATCCCTACCACCCATTGAGTACAGAGCTGAGGAAGGATGGGTCAGAGGAAAAAAGGATTCTTGGAACTCCTCCCTCCCCTTATGAAAATCTCATGGAGAGTGATGAGATTACCTTCCTAAATCTAATTAAAAACAACCCCTCCAAAGTTGTCAGAGGTGGGAGAAGGTGGCCTAGGAGCAGCAAGCAGCCCCCTCTCTAACACCCTGGGACAAATGGCTCTGGGATTAGCCATGCATGGTGGCGAGCACCTGTAGTCCTAGTTACAGGAGGCTGAGGTGGGAGGGTTGCTGGATTCCAGGAATTCAAGGCTGCAGTAAGCTATGAATGTGCCACTGTGCTCGAGTGTAAGTGAGAGAGCAAGACCTTGTCTCTGAAAAAAAAAAAAAAAAAAAAAAAAAAAGAAAGGAAGGAAGGAAAAAACAAAAATGAGTGGCTCAGGGATTAATGCCCAGTAGCCAAGCTGAGGCCAGGCTGAAAAGGCTGCAAGTCTTTACTAAATAGGAGACAAACATAGGAAAGGAAATGTATAGTGACAGTAAACTGGATAAGCTAGGTGACAAGATAAAACCATAGTCTTCTTCGGTTTTCGGGTATCCACAGAAGTTTATGTGAATTCTTCCAAAAAACCCAGAGAGAGATAAAATTTATTTCTCCTATGTAGCTAAGGTCGCTTGAATAATTGACCCTAGGAACATCTACACCTGCACGCAGAAGTACGACCTTGTGCTAAACAGAATAATCTTTATGTTCACATAACACATACACTAGATGTGTGGCTTTTTAAAAAGAAAAATGTCTCTGAACTTTTTAATATAATATTTAAATATAATTTGGTTAATGAGGCCTACTAATTTAATATAATAATTTAATATAATTTGGTTAATGCGGCCTCCTATGGTCAAAATTTAATGCATCCCTCATCTGCATAGCCCTTTAACACGTACTTGTGATAGCATGTTATAGGTCTGACCAAGCCTGAGCTTGAGATATTGACCATCTTAATAGTGAGTCTTTTTTTTTTGAGTTGGAGTCTTGCTGTGTCAGCCAGGCTGGAGTGCAGTGGTGTGATCTCGGCTCACTGCAACCTCCACCTCCTGAGTTCAAGCAGTTCTCCTGCCTCAGCCTTCCAAGTTGCTGGGATTACAAGTACGTGCCACCACGCCCAGCTGTTTTTTGTATTTTTAGTAGAGACGGGGTTTCACCATGTGGGCCAGGCTGGTTTCGAACACCTGACCTCAAGTGATCTGCCCGCCTCAGCCTCCCAAAGTGCTGGGTTACAGGCATGAGCCACCACGCCTGGCCGAGTCTTTTTTTTTTTTTTTTGAGATGGAGTTTTGCTCTTGTCACCCACGCTGGAGTGCAATGGCGGAACCTCAGCTCACTGCAAACTCTGCCTCCCAGGTTCAAGCGATTCTCCTGTCTCAGCCTCCTGAGTAGCAGGGATTACAGGCATGAGCCACCACACCTCACTGATTTTTGTATTTTTAGTAGAGACAGGGTTTCGCCATGTTGGCCAGGCCGGTCTGGAACTCCTGACCTCAGGTGATCCACCTGCCTCGGCCTCCCAAAGTGCTGGGATTACAGGCATGAGCCCCCAAGCCTGGCCTTAATGGTGGCTCTTGATTTGCATTTATTACATAGTAATAGCACATTGAAATATGGGGAAGACGAATTTCAAAGATTGTCCAGGTAGATCAGGAATCAGACTAGCTTTGTCCTAGAAGGCTTCCTAAAGGAGGATGCATGTTTAAAAAAATAAATAAATAAAGGAACAGGAAGCACAACTTGGTAGGAAAACCTAAGGAAACTGTTAACCCTGGTTCTCTCTTCCTGCCCTTTTTGCTTCTAGTCTTTCCTACAGTGGTCAGCACCAGCTTTATCCAGCATGAAGTCGTGGAAGAGTATAGCCACCTGTTCACTATCCAAGGCTCGGACCCCAGCTTGCAGCCCTACCTGCTGATGGCTCACTTTGATGTGGTGCCTGCCCCTGAAGAAGGCTGGGAGGTGCCCCCATTCTCTGGGTTGGAGCGTGATGGCATCATCTATGGTCGGGGCACACTGGACGACAAGAACTCTGTGATGGTCTGAGATGCAATGTTCCCTCTGCCTTGGGGCCCTAAAGATCAATCAGGATGGGGGTGCTTGGCTGACCCTGGGAGGTGGGAGATAATGGTAAAAAGAATCTTGGCTCCAGGAGACCTGGGTTCCAGCCATCAGTTTGTCACTTCCCTTCTCTGGGCCTTGATTTCTCAGCTGTAAATGGGATTGAATGGTCCCCAGGGACCCTTTCAGTCCTGACACTGATATGTTTATGCTCTTCTCCAGGTGGTAAACGTTCTGTTTCTCCGCATCAGGTCCCCTGTACCATTTGAATCTGTTCTCTTTCAAGAGAATCTATCACATCCTCATCCCACCAGCCCTGATAACAGGCAACTGAATGTCTCTGATACCCTGGTATTCCCACCTAAATAACGTCTTTTTCCTCTTCCATTGTGCTTCTGAACCCCAGGCATTACTGCAGGCCTTGGAGCTCCTGCTGATCAGGAAGTACATCCCCCGAAGATCTTTCTTCATTTCTCTGGGCCATGATGAGGAGGTAGAGCCTCCTCACCTTATACCTATCTCTGTCCTCTGTTGAGGGTAGGGGAGTGGGTGCTTAACCCTAGTCCAGTTTGCCCACAGCAGCAAGGTCTCCATGATACGGTAGTTTGCCAACTTCTCCGTGTGTCTGTATGCCAGGACTATCTAAGGACCTTGACCAAAATTCAGATTCCTGGGCCCTGTGCCCTAGATCTGAATTTTTAACAAACTCCTTCATAATATCTGAGGCAGGCAGTGGGTCCATCACCTATACCCTAAGAAACATACGTGTGATGGAAAAAGAACTGAAAAGGGAGAGTGATGACTGCGTTTTATTTCCAATGATGCTACTTACTTAGACCCTGGGCAAGTCACTTCACTCTTTTGGCTCCAGTTTCTTCATTTGTGAAATAAGGGAGGGTGAGGCCTGCCAGCTCTGACATTCCAGAATTCTGTAAGGCAGGATTCTCTAGGGCCCTGGCTCCCAGGAAGGAGACTAGGTAGAAAGGTTCTGGAGCCCCTAGCTAGGCTGAATAGGTCCCCATTAGCTATGTCTGGAGGTCTGTCTCTGGCTGAGAAGGACTATAGCTCTATGTTCCATGTCTGCAGTCATCAGGGACAGGGGCTCAGAGGATCTCAGCCCTGCTACAGTCAAGGGGCGTCCAGCTAGCCTTCATTGTGGACGAGGGGGGCTTCATCTTGGATGATTTCATTCCTAACTTCAAGAAGCCCATCGCCTTGTGAGTAAAGCATCCCACCCCACACCTTGGAGGGAATTCTCACCCCATTTGAGATGACCCCAGCCTGGTATCTGTGAGCCATGCTGAGACAACTCTTTGTGTACACCTCTCGCATTAATCGCCCCAATCTTTAACCTCTCCTAGGCTTCCCCTTCCATTCTTCCTCCAGTATAAAATTTTTAAAGCAGCATGAAGCTACCTCCTTGCCCACTAGACTATTGCACAGATGGACCTATGGGCCTATGGGAGAATTCAGAGAGGCAAGAAGTCAGGAGAGTGGTTTCCGATCCTCTTCTACAGGATTGCAGTCTCAGAGAAGGGTTCCATGAACCTCATGCTGCAAGTAAACATGACTTCAGGCCACTCTTCAGCTCCTCCAAAGGAGACAAGCATTGGCATCCTTGCAGCTGCTGTCAGCCGGTAAGCAACTCCTGGCCCTGTTCCCATGCCAGACTTGAGATGGAAGCCCTGGCACTTTCCCACTTTAAATTTGAGGAGGCTAAGCTTCCTGCCCTAAAGTTGGGCTGGGAAACTATGCTATAAAAAATTGACACTAGAGGAAGAACAGAAGGGGAAGCCCAGGACAGACTAAAGATCCAGGTGATTAATACAACAGGTGTAAATAAAGAGTTATCTCAGCATGGCTCACAGATACCAGGCTGGGGTCATCTCAAATGGAGTGAGAATTCCTTCCAAGGTGGGGGTTGGGGGAGCCACAGGAGAGACAGAGCCACCAGTATCCTGCAAGGGCTGGAGTCAGAAGAGGATCTGTCAGTATATCCATATGGAAAGCAAGGACCTACAGGCAGAAGCTAGGTCAGGCAGCTAGAGTAGTCCAGAGTCCAGACATTTAGAATCACAAATTGGCAATGACTGGTAGAGCTGTCGAAATTCTCCACCTGTCCTGGCAGGAGGACAAAAATAAATAAGAGTTGCTGGCTATGAATGAGGACAGCAGAATCTGTAACAGCAGAGCTTACTCCTGGCTGGGTTTTCTTAGCAAAGTGGGAAGGAGTGCTATATTCATTCAAATTGTCAGGAGACTGACAATTCTGCTGTAGTATGGGATGGGCTATGAGAGTGGACACACAGGATTCTAGAGAACAGCAGAGGGAGGAAAGAAGGACCCTAATGCAGACTTGGTAGACAGGGAAAGCTCCTGGGGATGTTTTGAGATCTTCAGAATGTTGAGTTGGTGGAGGTGGGAGGGAGGTGAATGAGAGACCTCTTGGCCAGGAGCGTTGAAACTTCCTCCTATCTCCCTTCTTCTCCTCTTCAAGCCACTGATCTTTGGCTGGGGTTCGCTAAGTCTTGAGGACTCTGTTTCTCTTCCAGATTGGAGCAGACACCAATGCCTATCATATTTGGAAGCGGGACAGTGGTGACTGTATTGCAGCAACTGGCAAATGAGGTATGGGAAGAAGTATCACATACTCCTAATCAGCTAGGAACAAAAGACGGACAGAAAAGTAACCTTTAGAGTAAGAAAAGGACCCTAGTACTGTCCAGCACTCTGCCTATTCTCACCTATTCCCAGCCAGTGGCTGAGCCAAGACACAGGGATCTGGCTTGTTCTCTACGGCTGTTAGTGTGTTTCTGAGACCCTAAGACCTAATCTACCCTTTGGGAGCTGGTTCCCACTTATCCTTGAGGTTGCTAAGCAATTGTTCTAACCAACCAGATAAGCCCAGCCAGACAGTAATTGCCTCCCTATTCCTGATCCTCTAGCAGGGATTGAGCTAACTGAATTTAGCAGCACTCCTGACTGCTAAGGGCCCCTGAGGCAGCTCTAAAGTAGAGAGAGACTCAGGTCTCAGAGACCCAGGCTAAACTAGAGGTGACCCTGTGGTGCTGACCTTGTTCTTTCCCAGTTTCCCTTCCCTGTCAATATAATCCTGAGCAACCCATGGCTATTTGAACCACTTATAAGCAGGTAAAGTATTATCTTTCCTTTTTTCACATCCCTCACCTCAAACCTACCCACCCCCCAGGCCCCTCTCCTTGGCTTAACTGGGCCTGACTAATCATCCCTCAGCCACCAGATACTGCATCTCTAAGTGTGTATATTTAAGACATCTCTAAGACGTCTCTCTCAGTCTTAAAGATCCCCAAGGTTCAGGAAAGTGGGTAATGTTTCCGCCCTTTCCTTCACCCCATTGGTTCTTTCTAACATCTGACCTTGGTCCTTTTGTTTTAGGTTTATGGAGAGAAATCCCTTAACCAATGCAATAATCAGGACCACCACGGCACTCACCATATTCAAAGCAGGGGTCAAGGTAACATCCCTGGTTCCTCCCCATATAGCTTTTCCCTACCGCCCTCCACTCCTCCCTTCCTTGAATCTATCTACTGGCTCTTCCTTCCTTCTGTGTGTGTCAGCTGGATCCAAGCCTAGCCACGCAAAGACATAGGCCTTTCTGAAATCTTGAAGGGAGTTAGACCATTCTTGTAACTGCCAGTACCACCAGCACAACTTCAGGGGGCACCATTCACCTAGAGTACAATGTGACCTTGAAGCACTCTAGTAATCGGGTATATAAGTGAATGATGCCTCTGAATTAATTCCTGGCATAACTCACTGGACCGTCCAGTGTGTCAGCTGTAGTGTTCATCAGAATAATAGCACTGTGTCCTGACATTTGAATGGTGTTTTCATCTCCCCAGGATACTTTGTTACTCCATCTGAGCCTTCTAAGAGTCCTATGAGTATTGCCCCAATACCCAGTTGAGAAAACAGAGGCACAAAGAGGTTGCAACAGCTAATTTGCAACAGCCCAGCTCTGTCCCTGACCACTTAGTGCTTTTTTGCACCATACGAGTTCAAAGAAAGATATGCACTTGGGGAGTCTCCCGGCCTCCAAGGAACAATCCCTCCATAGCCTAACTCTTTTCTCCAGTTAGTCCTGGATTCCTCCTGGTCAGGCAAAAAAGTCAGATTTTACAACTGGACCTGGGAAACCACCAATCCCTGCTAGAAGGTCGGGAATGGGGAGGCAATTACTGCCTGACTGGCTTATCTGATTGGTTAGAACAATTGCTCAGCAGCCTCAAGGATAAGAGGGAACCAGCTCCCAAAGGTTATGTTAGGTCTTAGGGTCTCAGAAACATACTAACAGCCCTAGAGAACAAGCCAGATCCCTCTGTCTTGGCTCAGTCACTGGCTGGGAATAGGTGAGAACAGGCAGAGCACTGGCCAGCACTAGGGTCCTTTTCTTACTCTGAAGGTTACTTTTCTGTCACTCTTTTGTTCCTGCCTGACCAGGAATATGTGAGGAGTATGTGTTCTTCTCATCCCCCTCAAGGATCAAACCTGATGTGAGCCCCGTGCTATGCCATGATGGGGGTCAACAGAGGCTCTGGCTGCCCCATCGTGAGTAAGCACTAATGTTAACAGCTGCAGAAATGTCCTGGGTGTGCTGGGAAAGAAAGTGCACACAGAAGGCTTCTAATAGCACAGCATGGGGCCAAAACAGAGATATCTGGGTGATCAGAGAAAGCAGCCTTGCTCTGAACATCTCTGTGACCCCCTGCAGCACCAAGAAGCAGGAAGGTCTGGCTTAAAGCAGAGACACCCCTTCAGCTCTGAATATAACATGTCACTTAGTTCAGAGAAGACAAGAGGCAGACTAGAAAAGCTAAGCCTTGGGTCCTTAAGTCAAATCAGCCAACTCTGCCTGAGCTGAGGAAATTAGCATTTCCTGGGCAGGCAGATGTAGAAGATTTGAGGTTGACTCAAGCCAGGGTTTTGTGCTTCTCTCTCTAGTTCAATGTCATCCCCCCAGTGGCCCAGGCCACAGTCAACTTCCGGATTCACCCTGGACAGACAGTCCAAGAGGTATGTACCATATGTTCCAGACAACAACTCATGCAGCATCAGGGAGATGTGGCCCTCAGGGCCCGGGTTTAACTACAGTCCTAGGGCTGGTCCAGTGTCCCATTTATTCAACCAACATTTTTCAAAGACAACCTATGCACCGGATACTTCATTAGGATTGGAGATCCTGGGTTTGGGTAAACATGGGGTCTGAAATGGAAGATGAGTATGAATAAATGATAGCAATACCTATAGTAACAAACATTATATATAACATTATATATATGTAGTAGTGTAGTAGGCTTGCTGTGTATTTGGCACCTTTCTTCCTTTCTTTTTTTTTTTTTTTTTTTTTTTTTTTTGAGTCAGAGTCTTGCTCTGTCGCCCAGGCTGGAGTGCAGTGGCACGATCTTGGCTCACTACAACCTCCGCCTCCCGGGTTCAAGCGATTCTCCTGCCTCAGATTCCCAAGTAGCTGGGACTATAGGCACGTGCCACTATGCCCGGCTAATTTTTAGTATTTTCAGTATTTTGTATTTTTTGTATTTTTTGTACTTTGTATTTTTGTAATTTTTTGTATTTTGTATTTTTAGTAGAGACGGTGTTTCACCGTGTTAGCCAGAGTGGTCTTGATCTCCTGACCTTGTGAGCCACCCGCCTCGGCCTTCCAAAGGGTTGGGATTACAGACATGAGCCACCACACCCAGCCATATTTGGCACCTTTCTAAGGTATACCCATACATTTTAATCCTCACAACTACCCACCCTAAATCTGCATTTAACTGGTGAAAATTGAGGTACAGAGTACCAGAGCAATCAAACAGCATACCCAAGATTATATATCTAGCAGTCTAGTTCCAGAGTTTGTGCTTTTAGCCACAACCCTAAACTATGATTATAAAAATTAGAGGTGAACAAATTGCCATAGGACCACTGCAAAGAAAGAAATTCATGCTACTTCTTAGGGTCAAAAAAGTCTTTTCTGACTACTAAAATGTTGAACTGGGCCTTAGAGGAAAAACAGAACTTGGCTAGAAGTAAGACATTCATTGTGGCTTAACGAATAGAATAAACTGGGGACAAGTAATAGGAGATGAAAACTGATAGGAAATGGAGTTGTAGTTTAGGGATCTAGGCCTTGTATGCTATGCTGAGGAGTTTGGGCCCTAATCTGTGAAATCTGTGGCAGGAGAGAACTTTTAGAGGTCTTCAACCAAATACTCAGATTTGCTTTTAGAGAGGTCATGCTAGCAGCATTGCAGAGGGAGTGCTGGAAGAGAAGGAGACAGAGAGCTATTTCAGCATCTTAGGTAGTGCATGTGAAGGTCTGGACTGAGGCCATGCTCGTGGGGTGGAGAAGAGAGCAACCACCAGAGGTGGGAGAGAGGTGGGTTCAATAGGATGTGGTATGTATATGGGTATGGAGCGAGAGAAAAGCAGGATGGCTCCAAGGTTTTTAACCTGGGTAGTTGACCAAGTAGTTAATGCCTTTGACTAAGATTGGGAATTCAGAAATTAAAACAAGTTCAAGAATATCATAATTTGGAAGTTTGAGAAGCTTATAACATATGAAATAGGCAATTATAAATACCTCAGGTCTGGAGAGAGATATGAACTAGAGATATAGGCTGGAGTGTCATTAACATCATGGGAACCTCTAGATTCAATAAAAGCCCATGGGAAGAAGGTGCAGAGAGCTAGGAGAGAAAAGAGTTGAGGCCAGAGCCTTGCAATGGTCTGCTACAAACATCAGTTTAAAAATGAATGTATAATTGCAAACCACGATGAGTGCTATAATGAAGAGGAACCTGGTGCTTGTTAGAGAATATAACAAGGAACCAGACCCCATCTGGGAATCAGGCAGGGCTTCCTAAGGCAGTAATGTTTAAGCTGAAAGCTGAAGGGTGAGTAGAAGTTACACAGAATGTCTGACATCCACAGTAAATGCCAGCTTATTTAAACATCAGGCTGAGCTAAAAGGAATTCAAAAGGTAAACCCAATGCTTCAAAAACAAAAAAAAGATCCAAAAAGACAACCCAGTGACTATCAGATGAGTAATACATTCCAGAATATACCAGGGTTAGGGGCAGTTCTGTGCCACAGATCATCAAGGGTCAGTGGCACTTGGACTTCTATGGTCCTTTCTCCTAAGTTCTTCCCCAGAGAGGACTTTAATTGTCCTCATGCAAGGAGAGAGGCACACTCCTCATTGTAGAGCGGGGAGAAGGTTGACATCCTGCCCAGAGCCACCCAGCATTGAGGGGGTTGGGGGAGTGGGGGGTAGTTAGGACCAATGTGAGCCCTGGGTTCTCCTGCCTTTCATCAGGTGCCAACCTTTGTCCTCTCCCTGGGGTCTCATGGGGCCAGGAAATCACTGAATTCCCCTCATTGAGCTTCTTTCCACTAGTTTTTTTCCAGCCTCATTCCAACTCCATGCCCTTTCCAAGGGCTGTTTTCCACCCAGCTGGGGCTTTCATCTCCCCAGGTCCTGGCACTCTTCCCTCCTCTCTACTCCCTTGCCACAGTGACCTTCCTTCCGGTCTCTCTGATGAAACCCCTGGAATCCCTAGGTCCATCCTGCCCACGTGCCGCAGTGAGGAATGGAAAGCCTCCATATTCAGAAAGCTTGTGGGCGCATTTGTCCTGGTTACTCCTCTCCCTCCAGCCCCAGTTCCATGCGTCAGGAACACTCCCTGCTGCACTCCCTGTGCACAGAGCCTCGGGCTGGATCCAGCAGGAACACAGGCCGCCCCCAGAGTTCTCTTGCTCCATATTCAACTTCAGTTGTAGATAGGTCTCCAGCACCTATCTGTGAGGAACAGAACCTTCAGAAATCCAAGAGGCTGCCATGTGGAAAGGAAGGTGTGTCCTGAATGGGCCTGAAGGAGTAGAGAGAAGGCCAGTGGGAGATGTTTGAGGGAGTCTCCACTTGAGGGAGAGTTTTGGAATGTGCTATCTTGGACAATGATTGTGCTCCTCATCACTAAAAGGGCTCAATAAGAGTGTTGTAGAGAAGATTCTTTCCTTTCTTCCTTCATTTATTCATTCAAGTGTCTATTGGTAGCTACTGTGGACTAGACATTCTTCTAAGCATTTGGGAGAATGGTGAACAAGACAGACAAGATTCCCATTCTAATGGTGTTTACATTCTAGCGAAGAGACAGCAGTAAGCAAGGAAATTTTTTTTAAGTGGTAAATACCACAAAGAAAGTAATAGGATGCTGTGTCACAGAGTAATTGTGGGGCAGAAGTACAGCAGTGAGGTCCTTTAAATGTGATGGTCACTGAAGCCCTCTCTGAGGAGGAGCAAAGACCTGGCAATAGCATCCAGGCAGCAAGAGCACAAAGTGGGAAGCAGTACAGATGCCCTCTAATTTTGACAGGTAAGATTCTGCTGAGTGTTTATGATGCGTCTAGTACTATATTACATCCTGTGGAGTATATTCATTGTCAAAAAAAGGAGAGGCAGGGCCAGGCATAGTGGCTCATACCTATAATCCCAGTGCTTTGGGAGGCTGAGGCCAGAGGATTGCTTGAGGCCAGGAGTTCAAGACCAGCCTGGACAACACAGTGAGACCCTATCTCTACAAATAAAAATAAATATTAAGCAGGCACACTCCTATACTCCCAGCTACTCACAGGAGGCTGAGGCAGGAGGATCTCTTGATCCCAGAAGTTGGAAGTTACAGTGAGCTATGATCACACCACTGCACTCCAGCCTGGGTGACAGAGCAAGACACTGTCTCAAAAAAGGAGAGGGATTAGATATTACGGGACACCATATCTGAGTTATAAGCAAGATATTTATAACTGAACTACTCAAAAATGGAATGGTATATAGCATGCAGTGACGAGCTTTCTGCCACTGGAAATATTGCAGCAGATGGGATGACAACCTGTCTTGAGTTTTCTGATGAGCAGCCTTACAGCAGGACAGAAGCTGGACTTGCTAACTCTAAAGACCTTACCTGTTTTTAAGTATCCATTGTCCTTGCCTTCAACAGCTGTACCGTTCACTTAGAGGAAAATATCTCTACACATAAAACAGAGAACAACATAAGGTTGTGAGAATGCACTGAAAGAACTACAGGAGATCTGGGCCCAGTGCAGTGGCTCACGCCTGTAATCCCAGCACTTTGGGAGGCCAAGCTGGGCAGATCACAAGGTCAGGAGTTCAAGACCAGGCTGACCAACATGGTGAAACCCCGTCTCCACTAAAAATACAAAAATTAGCTGGGCATGGTGGTGGGCACCTGTAATCCCAGCTACTCAGGAGGCTGAGGCAGGAGAATCACTCGAACCCAGGAGGCAGAGGTTGCAGTGAGCCAAGATCACACCATTGCACTCCAGTCTGGGTGACAGAGCGAGACTCCGTCTCAAAAAAAAAAAGAACAGGAGATCAGAGAAATGAGAGATTCGTGTGCTCTAAAGTCACCTTTGAGGTCTCTCACCATTGACAAGTCTCTCCTCCTAGTTCCATTCTTGTACCTCCGATTCTTGCCCAAGGTGGTCCCTCTATTCTAAATAAGCAAATAACAGCTAGCATTTTTTGAGTGCTTACCATGTGCCAGGCACTGCCCTACGCACATTACACCTTTTTTTTTTTTTTTTTTTTTTTTTGAGTCGGAGTCTTGCTCTGTCACCCAGGCTGGAGTGCAGTGGCACGATCTTGGCCCACTGCAAGCTCCGCCTCCCGGGTTCATGCCATTCTCCTGCCTCAGCCTCCCGAGCAGCCGGGACTCCAGGCGCCCGCCACCACGCCCAGCTAATTTTTTGTATTTTTAGTAGAGACGGGGTTTCACTGTGTTAGCCAGGATGGTCTCGATCTCCTGACCTCAGCACATTACACATATTAACTCCAGTAATGGTCACCACCACTTATGAGGTAGGTGCTACCATCATCTACATGTTAACAGATAGGCAGGCTGAGGCACAGAGAGGTTAAGAAGCTTGTCCAAGGTCATACAACTGTGAGTGACTGAGGCACAAAGTTGGTTGTCACATCTCAATTTTTGTGCCTGCCCTTCTCCATGCTCAGACGATCTGTTACCTTGTCTCTGTCAGTTTCATATCCTTCCTTGAAACTTGGGCTAAACATTCATACCACTAAGGAGTCCATCTCAGATGAACACCTCCTCTCAGGTTATACTCCACACCACCTCTAACTGTACGTACTTAGGAAGCAGTAAAGCATTATTCCTGTAAAGTCAGACAGATACCCGACCTGACAATACTGACTGTATAACCCATGGCAAGTTATTTAATGAATCAACACCTATTCTTATTTTTATTGGTTCACATCTTTTAAATTTTATGTATCCAAGATTTATTGCATGACTTTTATGTGCTTGCTACTGGAAATGCGGAAATGAGATAGACACAGTCCCTGCCCTTGAGTCAGACACAGTCCCTGCCTGGCCCAGCAGCTAGTGGGAAACCTGAGCTCCTGCAGCCTCTTACTGAAGGGATCCATTCTGCATGCCTTCTTCGATTTCTGGAGGGACTTCTAAGGAATTTGGGGCAGTGGGCACAGTCCCAACCCACCTCATGGAGGCTGACTTCAGAAACTTGCCAATGGGCTGAGAATATGTCAAGACCGTGCATTAATTCTTGTATTAGGATATTTGTATTATAAGTGCTAGAGTGAAAATATGCTCTGAGAAGTGAGAATACACTTTGATGACCCCTTTGCCCATCCAATAGCAGGATATTTGTTTTGATTCAAATGGTGGTTTCTAAGCCAGAAGTGGGAACCTTCACTTCCTCTCCAGACTCAACTCCTAACATTCTTCTGGCATAAAAGAGGTACTCTTGGGGCCGGGCACGGTGGCTCACGCCTGTAGTCCTAGCACTTTGGGAGGGCAAGGCAGACAGATCACCTGAGGTCAAGAGTTTCAAGACTAGCCTAGCCAACATGGCAAAACCCCGTCTCTACTAAAAATACAAAAATTAGCCACACATGGTGGTGCATGCCTGTAGTCCCAGCTACTTGGGAGGCTAAGGCAGGAGAATTGCTTGAATCCAGGAGGCAGAGATCGCAGTGAGCCGAGATGGTGCCACTGCACTCCAGCCTGGGCGACACAGCGAGATTCTGTCTCAAAAAAAAAAAAAAAAAGGTACTCTTGGCCAGGCATGATGGCTCACACCTGTAATCCCAACAGTTTGGGAGGCCAAGGCGGGCAGATCACTTGAGGTCAGGAGTTTGAGACCAGCCTGACCAACATGGTGAAACCCAGTCTCTACTAAAAATACAAAAATTAGTCAGGCATAGTGGTGCATGCCTGTAATCCCAGCTACTCGGGAGGCTGAGGCAGGAGAATTGCTTGAACCTGGGAGGCAGAGGTTGCAGTAAGCCGAGATCGCACCACTGCACTCCAGCCTGGGCGACAGAGTGAGATTCTGTCTCAAAAAAAAAAAAAGAGGTACTCTTAAGATAATGACCCCCATTCAGGTGATCTGCAGCTATGGGACAACCCCCCCTTTCTAGAGCAGAGGCAGTTTTAAAGCAACTACTGAACAAATGGGTTGGGACTAGTGCTGGAGCTTTGGAGAGCAAGGGTCCCTCTAAGCCAGTCTCCTGGTCCATTCCCACGTGGCTCTATGTGACCTAATCCTCAGGGTCTGGTCTACTTCCTGACTGCAGCCAGGAATTTTTCTGGATTCACTCTAGTCGTTTCAGACAGAATTTTCTAGGAGTTTCCTTAGGTTCTTTCCCAAGGAAACGAAGCAAAGAGAGAAAACTTGAATACAAGTATCATAACTTCTGACTTTTTGTCTGTGTTGAGCTCATCTTCCTGGCTCCAGTGCAGCTGGTTACAAACAGGAAGCAGAAATGCCCAGAGAGGGGGAAAAAAGTGTGTGACCCTTTTATTACCTGTCTGAGGTTCTCCGAGGCTGAAGCCAGGTCATCACATCTATTCCCCAGCCTCGAGATGATTGACATTCTGCTGTGTCTTCGACACTTTCATCCAGCCTGTGGCTCACCACCCAAGGGGAAAGATACATAACTTCCTGATTTTCCAATTCCCATCCAACTTTCCATCGAAGGGATATCTCACCAATGCCCTTGGAAGGAGATTCCATGTTCCTGGCTGAAATGGTGCTTTTCGTAAGAATAGCTATAGGCTTTCAAGAGAGCCCAGGCATTGCTCTGTAGTGACCCAGTAGTCAATTTTCCAGCCAGGCCATCCCCTTGCCACTTCGTTGGTTTGATTGCTCATGTAAATTTGTTCCAATTCAAGATCTGATTCATGACTGTAAGACAAGTCTCCCAAAACATTTAACCTAAATCTATCATGCTGTAGGTTGCTTTCCAGGAAGACCCAGCTCTTACATCACCTATAGCCAGTCAGCTGAAATTGAAGTCCCAGTGCTTAAAAAAAATAAGTCCTGTCTGTAAACCCTGAGGCTCTGCCTTGCTGGAAAGAAATCAGGATATTTAAGCCCATATTGTACATGTATAGAAATCAATAAGAAATCGAACCCCCTTTGTTTCTACCCTGGAGGTCCTAGAACTCACGAAGAACATTGTGGCTGATAACAGAGTCCAGTTCCATGTGTTGAGTGCCTTTGACCCCCTCCCCGTCAGCCCTTCTGATGACAAGGCCTTGGGCTACCAGCTGCTCCGCCAGACCGTACAGTCCGTCTTCCCGGAAGTCAATATTACTGCCCCAGGTAATGACTTCATCAGCTGTGGCTGGAGGGAGGAGGGGGCTGGAACTGTTTCCTATCCAATGTCTACTTCCCCACCCCCACCCTAGATGTTCAGCCTGTAAACAGCTGGCTGCTTCCCCTCCTGATGAGACTAGAACTGTATTTTCCCTTCAGAGTGGAAGTGAGAACGCAAACAGGAAAGGAACAGAAATAATAAATTAGGTCAGTCAAGCCTGGGTCCTTGCTTAACCTAGGCCAGCCACTCTGGCATAGAGGGGAGAATTGGCTTAGACTACTCCCTCCTCTCTAGGAGCCACAGAAGGGGCCAAGATCTTCCCAGAGTCTGGTTCTGATCCATTCTAGGATAACAGCTCAGCAGGAGAGCTCAGAATCCTCAGCTCAGAAAAGCCTCCCAGCCCATACCATTTGCCTTAACCTAATTTACGTTTCCCAGCCCAGACCAATCCCAGCAGCACCCCTCTGTTCCCCTTCTGCAGCCTTCTAGCACCCCATCCAAATCTGTGCTTTGCAGACAGTGGTTCTCCAATCTAAGAGTGGAATAGGTCTCCCCAGTGAACTATTAAAATGCAGATTACCTGGACCCACTACAAAGATTTGGGTTAACCAAATCTGGAAGGGACCCTGGAATTTGCCTTTTTCACAAATACCCCCAGGAGATTCTGACACAAGGTGATGACTAACTATAGTTTGAGAATCTCTGGTCAATGGTTATTGCTCTAATATTAAGACATTGCTCAGCCGGGCACGGTGGCTCACACCTGTAATCCCAGCACTTTGGGAGGCAGAGGCGGGTGGATCATGAGGTCAGGAGTTCAAGACCAGCCTGACCAATATGGTGAAACCTCGTCTCTACTAAAAATACAAAAATTAGCTGGGCGTGGTAGCTCACGCCTGTAGTCCCAGCTACTCGGGAGGATGAGGCAGGAGAATCGCTTGAACCCAGGAGGCAGAGGTTGCAGTAAGCCGAGACAGCCCCACTGCAGTCCAGCCTGGGTGACAGAGCAAGACTCTGTCAAAAAAAAAAAAAAAAAGGAGAGAGACGTTGCTCAATAATAATGATATTGCTCAATTATTAATGCTCTAATATTAAGGCCTGTGTCTAGTTTTCTTTTCTCTTGGTTTAATCAGAGATTCCTCCAAACATCCAGGAACCCGGCCCTCACAATCCCAGATTCTCCTCTCTTGGCCCTCAAAGGCTACCTACTCTATTCTCTTTCTTCTGGAGCACTTACTGTAATCCACCAATGGGGCCAGGCTTTTGCAGAAAAAAGATAGGCAGCAATCAACCACAAAGCAAGGAACTTGAAGGGCCTGGATGTCCATTTGAAACCAGGAGTGGAAGATGGAACAAAACACAAATTACCATCTCAAATCACCGCACACACTTGAATTGATCCTCCAGGGTGTCTTTTCCCAAAGAACACACCTATGGGCACAAGTCCCAGCCTCTGCTAGGTGACCTGCTACCACCTTCAGGAGAGTGGGAAACTGGAAAGAGAGTATCCTGGCACTTTCCAGACCTAAGGTTTGACTCTAGGAAGACTTCAGAGGATGAGAATAACAGGAAATTTTGTTCCAATTCAAGACGGTGATATTTTATAGTAGTAAAGTTCTCCCAGAGGGTATTTATTTCTGACCTAGAGTGATACAGAATAAAGGTCAGGTGATAAAGAAGTGCTATCTAGATTCTGGTTTCTTAAATAGCAAATGGCCATGGCCTTGGGTATGAAATGAAGATACTGGCCACCCTGGGCGTCATGGGGAACAGCAAACAGCCATGGCCTTGGGTATGAAATGAAGATACTGGCCACCCTGGGCGTCATGGGGAACAGCAAACGGCCATGGCCTTGGGTATGAAATGAAGATACTGGCCACCCTGGGCGTCATGGGGAATAGCAAATGGCCATGGCCTTGGGTATGAAATGAAGATATTGGCCTCCCTGGTCGTCATGGGGAGAGGACACTTCCAAGGGCATTGGTGAGACATCCCTTGAATGGTCCATCCAAGGGATGTCTCACCAATGCCCTTGGAAGGAGATTCCATGTTCCTGGCTGAAATGGTGCTTTTTGTAAGGATAGCTATACGCTTTCAGGAGAGCCCAGGCATTGCTCTGTAGTGATCCAGTAGTCCTGATTTTCCAGCCAGGCCACACCCCAGCCACTTCGCTGGTTTGATTGCTCATGTAAAGCCCCTTTCCTGTTGATCTTCCCTCTCTAGTTACTTCTATTGGCAACACAGACAGCCGATTCTTTACAAACCTCACCACTGGCATCTACAGGTTCTACCCCATCTACATACAGCCTGAAGACTTCAAACGGTGAGTGGAACAGGTTTGAGCAGCAGGTGGGAGAAAAGAAATACACTTGATGTGTCCTTTTCCTACCCCATGCTCCTGGCAGTCCACAGAATCAGGGGGAAAGCCAGGATTTGGCAAAATGAAATGGAGACATTGTAGAACCTAACCCATCTACTGTCCTTATTGCCAGAGTCTCATTGTCACCCCCTAGAATTTATGGAAATTGGCCCCTCTTTTACAAAGATGGAGATAATTGGGTGATTGGGGAGAACCTGGTGGAATCGGTACCCTTGGGTGCTAATCCCAGCTCTTCCTCTCTTTGGGAGAGGGCTTATCCTCTGGACCCCGTTTTCTCCACTTACAAAATGGGGAGACTCCTCAGCATTTTCTGAAATGCAGACACATATGAGGTCAAAGGTGGATGCGTGTTTTGACTTCTCAGAAGAAAGCACTATGGAAATCCAAGATGTGAGCACCAATTTTAACTGCTCTGTGTGAATTACTATTTTTGTGGGTTCTTCAGCACATTTTCAATCCTGGGGTTTGGGAGGATGATTTCCATTTACCTCTCTGCTACTTATCACGTCCAGACTTGATTTCCCCATCCTAAATCCTCTGTAGACAGAGTGAAAATATTTGAATAGGAGCTTAAGAACAGCTTTCATGTTTTTGTTTTTTAAATGGGAGATGGGTAGGTACTCTGTTTCCTTTCATCTTTGAGATTACATATGTAGTTTGGTTGTTGTTTGTTTTGTTTTGCTCTGTTTTGTTTCACTGTGGGGAGGCAGGTTGGTGGATGTGAGGTCTGATAGTAAAGTTTCTAGGTGCCACAGAAAACTGGGTAGGCACCCTGGGCAGTTGCCTTCCCTACCCTCTCTTAGCCCTAGTAAGTGGGACAGTAGGAGACTGGCTTAGAGATAGTCTAGCTAGGCATTCTGTCCTAAGAGAAAGACAATTGGAAAGATAGTTCTTGGCCAAGTGTGGTGACTCACACCTATAATCCCAATACTTTGGGAGGCTGAGGCAGGAGGCTCACTTGAGCCCAGAAGTTTGAGACCAGCCTGGGCAACATAATGAGACTCCATCTCTTCAAAAAAAAATTTAAAAATAAAAAACTTAGCCACACACCTGGGGTCCCAGCAACTCAGGAGCTGAGGTGGGAGGATCACTGAAACCCAGAAGGTTGAGGCTGCAGTGAGCTGTGATTGTACCACTGCAGTCTAGCCTGGGCTACAGAGTGAGAACCTATCTCAAGAAAAAAGATAATTCTCCCGGAGGACAAATTATTGAATGGATTTCAGAGCAGGAGATTATTTTGGACTCCCCAGGAGTTTATTCCACACTGTTCTTTGTCACGAGCATAGATGGATCCCTGAGAAACGACCAATGTGCATCCGAAATCTCAGATGGCCCCTCCCTTGCCCCTCTCTTTCCTAGCCCTGGAGGGCCAGTAGTTTCCGGGTTGGTGAGGGAAGTAAGGGAAGTGCTCTGTGATAACACTTGTGCTGTGGCACTTGGCCCTCCCCTCCTTCCCTAAATGCACCTTACTTTCCTCAGCATCCATGGAGTCAACGAGAAAATCTCAGTCCAAGCCTATGAGACCCAAGTGAAATTCATCTTTGAGTTGATTCAGAATGCTGACACAGACCAGGAGCCAGTTTCTCACCTGCACAAACTGTGAGGTCAAGGGGCCTGCTGGGTTAGGCATGCCCGACCCCGGGACAGGACTAACCCAAGGGGGAAAGCTAGTGTTGATGAAACTTTTGATCAAAACCACATTGTAAAACATTGCCCATCTGTCTTGCTCACTCTTAAACTCTCCCAAGAACAAGGCCGGGGTAAGGTAAAGTCAGCAGAAATCTGGCTTCTCCCTTCCTCCCGACATCTGCATCCCTTGATCCACTGGCATTTGCTGCCCTCTTGTCCCTTATCTGTCTTATGCTGGTTATTTCACTGCTTCACCTTCCAGGCTTGACTTAACAAATGTAGATTTGAGAAATCTCAACCAGTTGTTACCTGATAGGAGTCTTTAATTTAGGGCACTCTTGCTGGGATGCTTTCTCCAGAGCTTATATATTTCTTCTTACTAGAACTTTCTTCCCCCTTTTATTCCCCTCTCTTCTTGGACTCATGAGCTGTCTCTTCATCTCTCCTCTCTCTCCTGCATCTCTCCCCTTACTCTTCAATTTATTCTACTTCTGGACCTGGACTTACCCAAACTGTGATACTACCATAATTGTCACCATAATCAGTCAAATAAAGTGATCTGTGCATCACCAGCTGGTCACTGAGAGGTGAAACTGAGGCAGGGGCTTTGGAGGAACCCCAAACCTCCTGGTTCTGGAGGCCAGAGACTGGAAAAGAAAGCCTCTGTCCTTGGGCTCCTCCCAAGGGCTCCCTGGGCTTTGTTCCCTCCCTGCCCTGTTCCTGACACCTGCTGCTACTGTCTCACCACAGGAGGCACTAATCTGTGGAAACATTTCCCTGGCACATCTGATGGGCTGAGCTCCCAAGGGAAGGGCTCTCGGAGCTCAGGACCAGCAGGTCCATGGCCCTGGCATCATGTCCTGGTTCAGGCAGATCAAGGGAAAGTGGAGGAGGAGGGGGAGGCTGGCTTGAGGGGCTCTGCCCTGTCTGGTGGGGTATGAGGAGGACAAACCAGCCTCCACTGGGGACAGCAGAATTCCTGTCTTTTTTCTCTGGGCTCCAACCCTGAGCATATTTGAATCTGCTCAGTAGCTGCCAGGTGGGGGGCACTGGAAGGCAGCATTTCTTGGCTCAAAGCTGGAAGCTGTGCTTTGTGGATCACAAGAGAGTCTGGATCACGAAGGAAGACGCAGCAGGAGCTGGGACTCGAGAGACACCCTCTTCTTCTCCTCACCAGGCAAGGACCTTCCATGTCCTCCTGGGCTTTGACAGCAGTGGGCTCCTTTTCCCTCTCCTCCTAACCCCCTTCCCCCTCAAGTCCCCAGTTTCTCACCTCCCTCCCTGGATGTGTACTGTTTCTTGGAGCTCGGGCTTCATGAAAAGTGTTGGAAACACAGTGTGGGGATTATTCCAGCTTTTTTGCTACTCCCCCTAAGATTCACATTCCTTCCTTTGCCCTCCCTTTTTTGGCCAATTCAGTACTTATTCAGCCTTTGTTAGAGGGCGAGCTGAAGAACAAAAATAATCCTTCACATTTCTACAGAGCTGTACAGAGTGCTTTCATACATCTTATCTCAGCAGAGACCCACAAGAACCCTGCGAAGAAGGCATTGTTACTCCTTCTTACAGGGGAGGAATTGGTTCTCAGAGAGGCTACACATCTAGCTGCAGGCAGTTGGCTCAAGCCCATGTCACCTGGCTCCAAACTCACTGTTATTCTACAATCCTACGTACCAATAGAATCTACTTCCCATCAATTATCTTATTTACTCATCGCAACAACTCTAAGGTGTTACTGTTCATTTTACAGATGAGGCAACTGAGTCTCTTAGGTTAAGTAACTTGTCCAAGGTCATGCAGGTGCCAGGAGCTGAGTCTATCTGAATCCAAAGCCTGTGCTAAAAGTACTGAAACTGAGACTCAGAGAAGCCATTTGACAGCATTCTTAAGGGGCAGCCCCAGAATTGAAATGCAGGTCAAAAATCCCCAAGTCCAGTACTTCTTCAATTGCACCGTGCTGCCTGCCCCAAGAACCTGTGGTGTGTGGCTCATTCATTCTGACCCAGAGAGATGTCAAGGACAAAGGCTGTTCTATTGTTGGACTTGGTTCTTAGCTCTAGCTATCTGTATTCCTCTGGCTGAACTCTCCCTATTCACACCTCTCCCGCTGTCTGCCAGCATTTCTTTCCAGCCCCACCCCCAGCTTCTGGGTTCAGCTTTTTTCCCTTTTCTCTGAGTTTGGGAACAACCAGGTCTCTAATGATCATAGAGCAACTGGGAGAAGAGTGAACAGCAGACCCTCTCCTCCTCTAGTCTCACTACACTCTTCCAGCTGTAGAAAAAAAGCTCCAGAGGGGGTAGGAAGCCCATGAGAGGGAACTGCTACAAATCCTGGCTCCGAGAACGCATGAATTACAGCCCAGTGGTCCCTGAAGGCTTCTCGAGAGAGCAGTTCAAAGTCCCCAGCCTGGCTGGAACAACAGCAGCCTCAAGACTGGCTGGGGCTTGGCGCAGTAGCTCTCGCCTTTAATCCCAGCACTTTGGGAGGTGGAGGCAGGAGGATCGCTTGAGGGCAGGAGTTTGAGACTAGCCTGAGTGATACAGTGAGACCATCATCTCAAAAAACAAAAGACTCTGGATGGGATGAGGCAACAAATCGGTGACTTTCCGCCACTCCGTCCCCATCCATCTAGACCACTTCCCAAATCCCCCAATGAAAGAGCTCCAACAGATAACCACAGGTACATCCTACACCCCTATCAAGGACTTAGCTCAAGCTTTTTACACCTCACTACCTAAGGCGAGAAGGAAGACAAAATATTCATAAGCAAAGAGAATGGGAACAGAAAGTTTGGCTGGAATCCCTTGATTGTGAATCTGGGTTGCTAAAAACATGGCCATCCTAAACCCAGTATTCCTTTTATCCAAGGGAGATAATAGGAGACAAAGTTCCTACTTGAGAGCTGAACATTTCATTAAATTTTTTTTTGAAAATTCAAATCTAATCAAAGACGGTTGGTTTTTGTTGTTGTTGTTTCTTGAGAGGGGGTCTTGCTCTGTCACCCAGGATGGAGTGCAGTGGCAAGATCATGACTCACTGCAGCCTCAACTTCCGAGGCTTAAGAGATCCTCCCATTTCAGCCTCCTGAATAGCTAGGACCACAGGTGCACGTCACCACACCTGGCTATTTTTTTTTCTATTTTTTTGTAGAGATAGGGTCTCACTGTGTTGCTAAGACTGGTCTTAAACTCCTGGGCTCAAGTGATCCTCCCACTTTGGGCCTCCCAAAGTGCTGAGATTACAGGTGTTAGCCACTGCACCTGGCCTAATGAAATATTTTTATAAAAACAAACCTACTTGCAATTCTAGCATTCAGTGTCCATCTAATGTCAATAAAAAGAACCAGTATCATGTTTAACATGTTGTATCTAGAGGTACAAATATAAAAATTTAAGGATAATATAAATTATTTATTACTACAAAATGTTCCTTAGCTCCCACGTGCAATGTTGCAAACACTACACTAATTCATGGGTACCTCCAGAACCAGAAACTGGAACATAAAACAGAGCAAGAAAATGGACACTGAGCACTACTGGTAGATAGTATTTCATGCAAGAATTCACTACACAGCTGAGCGCAGTGGCTCACGCCTATAATCCCAGCACTTTGGGAGGCTGAGGCAGGTGGATCACCTGTGGTCAGAGTTTGAGACCAGCCTCGCCAACATGGCAAGACCGTCTCTACTAAAAATACAAAAATTAGCTGGGCTTGGTGGCAGGCACCTGTAATTCCAGCAACTTGGGAGGCTGAGGCAGGAGAATCGCTTGAACCCAGGAGGCAGAGGTTGCAGTGAGCTGAGATGACCACTGCACTCCAGCCTGGGCGGCAGAGCAAGACTCCGTCTCAAAAAAAAAAAAAAATCCACTACAGACAGGGCGCAGTGGCTCATGCTTGTAATCCCAGCACTTTGGGAGGTTGAGGCGGGTGAATCACTTGAGGTCAGGAATTTGAGACCAGCCTGACCAACATGGTGAAACCCCGTCTCTACTAAAAATACAAAAATTAGCTGGGTGTGGTGGCATGCGCCTGTAATCCCAGCTACTCAGGAGGCTGAGGCACGGGAATTGCTTGAACCGGGGAGGCAGAGGTTCAAGCAGTGTGCAGTGTGCAGTGTGCTGAGATCGCACCACTGCGCCCCAGCCTGGGCAATAGAGGGAGACTCTGTCTCAGAAAAAAGGAATCCACTACAGCCATGCTACCTAAGAGGAAGCATTTGACAAGTTAATTTTCTTTTCTCTTAGCTAAGCACTTTGACAGCTCAACTCCTGCCTATACTCCAAAACCACAGTGGCCTCCAAAGTTCACACTGATACAACCCACAAACCTTCAGGGCATCCAGACACAGTTACCTTTTTCTTTTTTAAAGACATAAAGTGTGTTTGCTTAGGTAGCACATACACTAAAATTGGAACAATACAAATTTCCAATTAAAACAACACAATCGCACAAGGATAACACAAAAATATGTGAAGCACTCCATATTTTTAATGTATACATATTTCAAAACATCATGTACACAATAAATGCATACAGTGTTTATCTATCAACTTAAATAAATGAGACAGAACAAGATATATAAAGAAGTGACCTCCGGAGCCTGAACTGTATTAGACTCAGTAATGTGTGTTCAGTGTTACTGGTTGTTCTGTGCCAGTGCTGAGCACAGAATCCCAAGGGACAGAAGCATCTCTGTGTTTTTAATGGATTTATTTCCTTTGTGGTTATATTATATGATGCCTTCTAAAGCATTAAGTTCGAGGCAGGGGGCTTTCTTGCCTGGGTCTGAGAGATAAGGTGTTATTTTATATACCACATGGTGCCTGGTCTGGAAAATCAGGAAAGCCTCTGGTGAGGAAGTCATGACTGAAGCTGAGACTTCAAAGTTGAGTAAGAGTTAGCTAGGCAAAGCACAGAATGGGAAAAAATATTTGCAAACTTTGCATCCAACAAAGGTCTAATATTCAGAATCTATAAGGAACTGAAACAATTGAAAAAGCAAAAAACAAATAACCCGATTAAAAAATGTGCAAAAGACATAAACAGACACTCTCCAAAAGAAGACATACAAGCAGCCAACAAACTTATGAAAAAAATGCTCCACATCACTAATCATCAGAGAAATGCAAATCAAAACCACAGTGTGATACCATCACACACCAACCAGAATGGCAGTTATTAAAAAGTCAAAAAACAACAGATGTTGACGAGGCTACAGAGAAGGGAAGACTTACACATTCTTTGTGGGAATGTAAATTAGTTCAGCCACTGTGGAAAGCAGTTTGGAGATTTCTCAAAGAACTTAAAACAGAACTACCATTTGACCCAGCAATCCCACTACTGGATATGCATCCAAAAGAAAACAAATCATTCTGCCAAAAAGACGCGTGCACTCACATGTTCATCACACCACTATTCACAATAGCAAAGACATGGAATCAACCTAGGTGCCCATCAGTGGTGGTTTGGATAAAGAAAATGTACATATACACCATGTAATATTATGCAGCCATAAAAAAAAAAAACAAAATCGTGTCCTTTGTAGCAACATGGATGCAGCCAGAGGCCATTGTCCTAAGCAAGTTAACACAGGAACAGAAAACCAAATAGCACATGTGCTCACTTACAAGTTTGGGTAGTCATGGACATAAAGATGGCAACAATAGACACTGGGGACTGTTGGAGGGGAGCAAGGAAAGGGGAACAAGGTCGAAAAACTAACTGTTGAGTACTATGCTCAGTACCTGGGTAACAAGATCATTCATACCTCAAACGTCAGCATCACACAGTATACCCAGTTAACAAACCTGCACAGGTACCCCTGAGTCTAAAACAAAACTTGAAAAACAAAAACAAATGAAAATATATACCCCTAAAAAGGCTTGCACACATTGCATATAGCAGCCTTATTTGTAATAGCCCCAAACTGGAAACAACTGAAATGTCCATCAACAGGTGAATGAATAAACAAACAGGTGCATCCATATGATGGAACACTACTCAACAGCAGAAAGGAACAACCTGTTGATACACATAACATGGATAAATCTCAGAATAAGTATGCTGAATGAGAGAAATCAGACAAAAAAGATATATACTACATGATTCCATTCATATGAAATTCTAGAAATGAAAAACATCTGTAGTGACAGACGGCAGGTGGCCCAACGCATGGGTTGAGAGAGAAAGATTAAAAGAAGCAGGAAGAAACACAGGGGTCATGGATATACTCTTTATCTTGATTGTAGTGATGTTTTACTGATGTATACACATGTCAAAACATCAAATTGTACACCTTAAATCTGTGCTGTTTATTGCATATTATACCTCAAAAAAACTCTTAAATTTAAAAACAAAACAAACAAACAAAAAAACAGTGAGTTAGCTAGGCAAAGAGTTGGGGGACAAGGGAGAGAATTGTGCCAGACAGGGAATACAGTAGACAAAGACTATAAGGCAAATGAGAGCCTGAAACCTTCATGAAATGAAAGGAGTTGGCCAGGCACAGTGGCTCATGCCTGTAATCCTGGCACTTTGGGAGGCCAAGGCAGAGGATCACCTGAGGTCGGGAGCTGAAGACCAGCCTGACCAACATGGAAAAACCCCATCTCTACTAAACATACAAAATTAGCCAGGCGTGGTGGCGAATGCCTGTAATCCCAGCTACTCAGGAGGCTGAGGCAGGAGAATCGCTTTTACCCGGGAGGCGGAGGTTGCGATGGGCCGAGATTGCGCCATTGCACTCCAGCCTGGGCAACAAGAGTGAAACTCTGGCTAAAGAAAAGAAAAGAAAAGAAAAGAAGTCCAGTTGGGGCCTTGTAAATTAGGAGTGGAATTGTGGGCTTTGACTTAGGACAGTAAGAAAGAAAGTATAGCTAAGAGGTCCTTCTTTCCTTCTGTTCTTTTGTTCCTTTTTCTACTTTCTTTTTAATACTTATACATTATTTATTATATGCCAGGCACTGTTCTAAGTCACATGTGTGTGTGTATGCATGTGTATATATATATATAATCATTTAATCCTAATAATTACCCTATGAAGTAGGCAAATTAGAAGGTTACTTAGGTTAGTCATTTGGGAAATGCAAATCAAAATCACAGTGGGATACCACTTCACATCCACTAGGTTGGCCATAATCCAAAATGTAAAATAATAAATGTTGGTGAGGATGTGGAGAAACTGGAACCCTTGTACCTTGCTGGCGGGAATGTAAAATGGTGCAGCAGCTATCGAAAGCAGTTTAGTGTTTCTTCAAAAAGTTAAACATAGGCTGGGCATGGTGGTGTGTACCTGTCATCCTGGCTACTTGAGAGGCTGAGGCAGGAGGATGGCTTGAGCTCAAGAGTTCAAGTTCAACCTAGGTTAAAAAAAAAAAAAAAAAAGGCCAGGCACAGTGGCTCACACCTGTAATCCCAGCACTTTGGGAGGCCAAGGCGGGCAGATCACCTGAGGTCAGGAGTTGGAGGCCAGCCTTGCTAACATGGTGAAACCCTGTCTCTACTAAAAATACAAAAAATTAGCCAGGCATGGTGGTGCATGCCTGTAATCCCAGCTACTCCCAGGAGGCTGAGGCAGGAGAATTACCTGAACCCAGGAGGCAGAGGTTGCAGTGAGCCAAGATCATACCATTGCACCCCAGCTTGGGCAACAAGAGTGAAACTCCATCTCAAAAAAAAAAAAAAGTAAACAGAATTGCCATATCACCCAACAATGGTATATGGTCAAAAGAAATTAAACAAAAGATATTCAAATGAAGCTTATATATGAATGTTCACAGAGGACTATTCACAATCAAAAAAGGTGAAAACAACCCAAATGTCCATCCATGGATGAATGGATAAACAAAATGTGTTGTATCCATACAATGGGATATTATTTATCCATAAAAAGGAATGAAGTATTGATCTATGCTACGATGTGGTTGAACCTTGAAAACATCTGGATAGAAGAATATTTAAGGGCAAAAAATAAAACAACAACAACAAAATTAAGTTAAGTAAAAAAACCCATTCGCAGAAAGTTACATATTGCATGGTTCCATGTATATGACATATCCAAAATAGGGAAATCTATAGAGACAAAAACTGACTAGTGGTTGACTAAGCAGGGAGAGGAGGGGAGGGAAGGGGAGAGTGGGTACTGACTGCTAATGGATACAGGATTTCTTTTTGGGGTGATGAAAATGTCTTAAAACTAGACAGAGTGATGGTTGTTCAACACTATCAATATAATAAACACCAATGAATAGTACATTTTAAAATGGTTAAATTCATGTTATGTGAATTTTACCTCAAAAAATAAATAAATCCAAAAAAAAAGTTATTTAGGAGGTAGAGTCGATGGATGGCAAATGGTGATTGATGGGTGGTGGGCGAGGAGGCGGGGAAGTAGAGGAAGGAGTCAAGAATGACTCCCAGATGGCTGACAAACAAATGGGCGAGGGAATCCTCTTTTCTGGGATGGAGAAGACAGAATAAGAAATAGACATCTGGGAGAGAACTAGCGCATTTTGGATATCACAAGTTGGAAGTGCTGAGACATCCAAGTTCAGAGCTCAGAAGAGAAGTCTAAGACAAAGATATTTGGGCATCATGAACAGAGCATCATAAATGGACACTATGCAAGTGAATGAGACTCCATATGTAACGGTCTGACAGAGAAAGAAGGCCCAGATGTGTAAATTACAAGGTGTCAGCAAACATCACAGAAATTTTAAAATATAAGGTATTTCAAAATTAATATAAATTTTAAAATATAAAGTCTCTGTGTTCAAGGACTTTGTGATCAAGCATAAAACAATACGTTCATGTCAAAGAAGCCTTCAGCTCTGTAACATATCACCAAAGCCTACCATTTCATCTTTCATTTAACACGTCCCTACGTGCATCCAACCACATGTTGAAGAACCTGCTGTTCCTTGAAAATGCCAAATTCTCCCTTGCCTTCCTGCCATTTCACTCTGTTCTCTCTAACTGGAATAATTCTTTCCCATTTCCAATTCTTTTAGGCATATACTTAGGAATGAAATTGCTCAGTGATATGGTAATTCTGTGTTTAACCTTCTGAAGAAACATCAAACTGTTTCCTATAGCAGCTGCACCACATTATATTCTCACCAGCAAATGGACAAGGTTCCAATTTCTCCACACTCTCACCAACACTTGTCATTTTCTGTTATTTTCTCTCTTTTTTTTTTATGGCCAACCTACTGGATATGAAGTGGTATCCCATTGTGGTTTTGATTTGCAATTCTCTAACAACTAACCTAAATAACTTTTAAATCTATTTACCATTCTCCAACCCACTGACCTCATTTTCCACCTGATATATTGCAACAGCCTACCTCCTAGGGTAATTATTAGGATTAAATGAGTTTGCATATAAACCCACACAGTCAGATTCAATCAAAGCACCTCCATGTCTTTGAAGACTTCCTGAGCCTTGCCTTCCTGTGACAAAATATACCTTTGTCACAGTGTTTCCTCCTGTGACAAAGGTATATTTTTGTTAAAGCTCCCCAGGAGATTCTAATATGCAGCCAGGACTGAGAACCACCAGACTGGGGCAGTTTCCCAACCCAGTAGGATCATGGGAGTCACCTGGGGCACTTATTTAAAAGGGTAGGTTTCCTGGCCCAGCACCAGACGTTTGGAAACAGAATTTCCAGGAAAGAGGCCTGGAAATCTATATTTTAAAAGAAGTTCCCAACAGGTGATTCCTATGACCAGGCCAGTTTAGGAAACCCTGGTCTAGAGGATAATCCTAGAGCAGTAGGCAGTAAACACAGAGGGCAGTTTGAAACTAGGTAATCTGGTTTGCAAGATACAGTCTTTTTGCATCCTGGCTCTTGCAAGATAAAGTTTGCTCATCTTTGGCTTGTGACCCACTGTGGGGTTGCTGCCCCTATTAGCTCCTACCTGCATCTATGTAAGAGACTGTCCATCATTAACCCTTTCCAGGTAGGCATGCCCTCACACTCTGGGAAGTCTAAAATTTCACGTGAGGCCCAGAAAAAGCCTGAGCTGCCCGTTCCAAGTGCCTAATCCCTGTTTATTGGCTGTTTCTCTTTGGTGAGATCTTAACAGTCCTACTGCGTGCAGGGAATGTTCCAAATGCTATATTATCCTAATCCTCTCATCATCTGTGAAGGCTAATGCAACTCCATCTTGGATGCTAATCCACCATGTTGACTTCTGATTAACTCCAGTTCTGGAAATGCCTCTAAGATTTCTATTTTATCTACTATTCCTTGGTAAGACCATATACTTATCATAAATCCTGCTCTTAGGTTAAAACAACTGACCATAAATCCTGCCCTTAGGGAACTTCACATAGCATTCTCGCCTTTCCCTACAATTGTCCTACACATTCCTTCCCTGTAAGGTATAGGTATTCCTTCCTTATAAGGTATTCAAGCCCTGGTCTTACTGCTGTCCGGGATATAGACAGGGCTTCTGTTCGCAAGTCCCTATTAAATGCTTCTTTCAAGAAACCAGATTTGTCAGCCTCTTTGGCCTCTGAGCTTTCTCAGACTTTGGGGGTAGGTTTGCATAGAACTGCTCACCATGGAACATATATTGCAGAAAGGGAATTATGTCTCCATTTGATAGACATGGCCCAAGGTCATGTGCCTAATGAATTGCTGAGCCATTCATGGATTCAAATCCATGTGATTACAATGCTGTGGCATATTCCACTCTGCAGCACTGCCTCTCAAAGATTACTTTTCTATCCCCAGTTATAGTTCACCAGACCATTTTGTTTGCTGTCAAGGCTTCCCAGCTATACTCAGTAAATTCAGAGCTGCAGCTCCAAATACCTGGAACCATCCTGCCTAAGGGAATCCCAGGGTGGGTATCCAGGGGGCTTTGGGGAAAGGGAGCTCAGTTATAGAGAAGCAAAGGGAATGATGACAGTGCTGAGCACAGATGGCCACACTTCCCTATCCCACCCCCATCACTACATCCTCCTAAAACTGAATGAAGCCGGAAGGGGATGTCACCTCAGCTCTGGGCAGCAGGAAAGAAGTTGACCTCTGGGAGGGAGGGAGCAGCGGAGGGGTCACAGCAAGGGGAAAAATGGGAGGGGGCACCCTCCCCCACAGAACAAAAGATAGAAAAGTTTCCAGCCACGTCAGGCTAGTCTTACAACTAGCCATGCTGGTTAGGGGGTCCAGGATCTATGGGGCTCTGGAATTTTATGATGTCTCAAGATGAGTATTCAGGTAGTCTATGGAGAAGCCATTGGTAGACAGTACTTGGCCCAGAAGGAAGGCCATGGGGCTAAGAGAACCTCAGGATAGAGGCTAAATTAACCACATATTAGGACAAGTGCCAAGCAAGACTGAAGAATGCTGCCCCACAGAGGACCTTCCCACACAGGCTCCTCCACAGGCCCCTGCCTGTGGAGTGATCAACAATTCCTTTTGCCACAACACTCTTTCCCACCCCACACCCAACATATGCTCATATTCTAAATGAAAACACTGTGCTTGCTATACAAATGATGTTTCATGACAAGTCACCCAGCCTCTCTCCAACTAGATGGCGTCCCCAAGCTCAGTTTATATAAAAATTTGGGGTGCTACTACTAGCTTCTAGTTAAATGCCACATTATGTTCTGAAAGACATGAGGAGGGGATGCTGTGAGTTTGTTAGGGTGGTGCAAGGGGAAATTTCTGTCTCCCAGAGTAACAGGAATCAGTGAGACTCTTGACCAGAGCTGGTCAAGGATGCTGGAGAGAAACACAGCAAGAGAAAAACGCTGTAGAATGCAACAGGCCTATGAAAACAGTGCATGGAGAAGAGGCTGATTCGGTGGTCTTCCATATTCAGGATGGACATTACAGGCCATGAGGAAGTTAAAGCTGATTTTAAAAAAAGAGTTGCCCAATGCAGGTTAGGAATAAGACCCTCCAACCAAAGTTTCAGGGAACCTCCTTTGGAGAAAGAAATGTGTTTCTAGGTGTGGAAGAGCTCTCTTGGCTAACAAGCTCAAAGACTGGGCATGTCTTGAGGCAAGAGAGAGTCCACATGACCTTTGGAGGTTCTTGTCATACAAAGGTCCACAGTGATGCTCAGAGACCCTCACTATCTTTTTGATACCCCCAACTGCGTCTCTCCTTCTGAAGTATCTGGCTGGCCTGCTACTTGCTGGTAGTTCCTGTCTTTTCATCTGTGACCTCCGCTCCCTACATCTGTGCTCATCATTTCACAGACTGTAGCTATTTCTGCTCTTTCAGTAGAGAAGGGCCAGGATGTCTTCCTCTTCCTAAGGTCACAGCTGGCTAAGCCAGAGGAAATCTGCTTCCCCCAGGTCCTCTTGGTGTTTGACTCTAGGGATCAGCACAATACAGAGCAAAGTACCTACATCAGCTTTATCCACCTCATCCATCATTCATTCAACATATTTATTAAGTACCTACTATGTGCCAGGAGCTGGGTTTACACTAGTGATCAAAATAGATATAGAGATTATATTCTTGTTCCAGTGGCCCTGACACTTCAGAAGACACCAAAACCAAGGGCTTTTGTATTTATTTACTCATAGAAATATTTGCAATACCTATAACCAACAAAGGACTCGTATCTGATATTCATAAAGAACTCCTACAAAGTGGTAAGACAGGGCTGGGCTCAGTGGTTCACACCTATAATCCCAGCACTTTGGGAGGCCAAGGCGGGCGGATCACTTGAGGTCAGGAGTTAGAGACCAGCCTGGCCAACATGGTGAAACGCTGTCTCTATCAAAAATACAAAAATTAGCCTGTCATGGTGGCATGTGCCTGTAGTCCCAGCTACTCAGGAGACTGAGGCAGGAGAATCACTTGAACCCAAGAGGTTCCAGCCTAGGCAACAGAGCAAGATACCATCTCAAAAAAAAAAAAAAAAAGTAGTAAGACAGAAGGAATAGAATAATAGAAAATGGACATGATACTTGAACAGATATCCAAGGGTCAAATAAATGCATGGAAAGGTGGTCAACTTCATTGGTTATCAGGATAAAGCAAATTTAAACTACAATACCACTATACACCCACCAGAATGGCTAAATTTTTTAATTTTTCTAGATTGACAATATCAAGTGTTAATGAGAATATAGAGCAACTGGAACACTAAGACGCTGCTGGCAGGAGTGTAAATTAATATGAGCACTTTGAAAAATTGTTTAGTCGCATTTGCTAAAGCTAAAAATATGCATATCCTTTTATGACCCAGTAATTCTATTCCTAGGTATATATCTAGTATAAATATGAACGTAAGTGTACCAAAGGACATGAACAAAAACGTTATCGCAGCCTTATTCATAATAACCCCAAAGTAGGAACAACCAAAATGTCCGTCAACAGAATAACAGATAAATTGTGGTATATTTATTTAATGGCATACCGTACGGCAATGAAAACAAATAAGCTACTGCTACCACAATGTTTTGGATGAGTTTCATAAACATAGTATTGAGTGAGAGAAGCCAGACACAAAATAATACCTACTGAATGGTTCCATGTATATAAAGTTCAGAAGTAAGCAAAACTAACCTGTAGTGTTAGATAAACGTTACTTTTGAGAAGGAGTGTGGCATAGTCACCAGGAGCGGATAGAAGGAGGGTATCTGGGATGCCAATAATGATCTCGTTCTAGATCTGGATGGTGGTCATATGGGGGTGTTCACTGTGTCATCATTTGTTGACCTGTACACTTAGGTTTCGTGTTCCTTTCCTAAATGCCTGGTATATTTCAATTAAAAAAATACACACAGGAGAGGGGAACAGTTTTCGAGTAAGTAAAAACACGGAAGGTAGAAAGGAAATAGGAGAGAGATCAAGATTTTATACACAGGTAGCTGAGCTGTGGCCAGATTAAATGGGGTAGTGGAGGGGAGGGAACTGTTGAATAGAACAGGGCAGAAGTTGCCTCCAGCCCAACCAAAGTTCCTCCAGATACATCAGCCTTAATTCCCCACCCAACCCCACACCCCGTATTCACAAACCTCATCTTTCTGGACAAGTCCCAGCATTTCCTAGACTAGCAGCTACTTCTCCTGGCAGAAAAACCCAGTATTTGAGGCCAAAACTGGGGTCTGAGACACTGATATTTTGCTCTAGTAGGTCCTGTGAGTCTGCAGGCCCTTGATGCAAATGCTCCAGAGCTGATCTGGAATCATCCTGGGGGTACTGGTTTGGGGTGGGTGAGGGGAACAGGGTTTGGTATGTGTATTTGTCATCCTTATCAAAAGGAATGACCTGCTCAGGTTGCTGTGTGTGCTCTTGTGAGCACGTGCCCAAAGCTTCATACACAGCACTGCGATCTCTTCTCCCCAGGCACATCTCCGCTCCAAACCCTATTCAGGGGTCTAGAGCCATGTTCGAATGCCCCCGGGCTACTTTCAGGGAGGAAAAGGACAGGAAGGAACCGTTGGTCACAGGTTCCACTGACAAGAGGGGAAAACTTGGGAGTGGGGGTTCCTTTATGAGGGAGGTCACACCCCCTGCACAAAAACATCCCAAAGAGAACTGGCATTGAGCTTGTGTTGGAGAGGTGGAGATACCCCAGGGAGGAAGTGGCGAAAGGTGAGCATGGGAACACCCCTCTTTGATCCCACAAGGTGCGTCAGGGAAAGTTGGATTTCATTTAGTCCGGGATGGTGACATCTCTCCGCACGCTGCCACCAGGCTCAGTGGGTCAGAGGAAGTGAGGCTCCCCTCCTCTCCGACCTCAGGTGATGCGTGTGCGACCCCAGCCATGGGTCTGACCTCCTTTCGCTCCCGCCCGCCAGTCTCCACCCCTTTCAAGGCCGGGACTTTTTTAAGGCCGGATTCGTCAGGGGTGAGCCATTTGCTCAAGGAACGCGGAATCTGGAGGGAGCCTAAAGTGACGAGCCGGCGGGAGAAGAGCAAGGTAGGGACTGTTCTGTCCGGGTACCAAGTGGGAGGAGGGAGCACGCGGCTGGCTGCTTGAGCCCGGGGGTCAGAGGTGGCTGGCTGGCTGGCTCCACAGGGACGTTTACCGGTCTTCCCGAAGGCCAGAGGCTCCAAGGAAACATCCAGAGGCAGGAGAGGACGCGCACTGTCGCACACGCCTCTCAAAGTCTGCTGGGGCTCCGACGCGGCGCAGCGGGCCCGGGGGCGGTAGCACCACGCAGCGAGCCCGGGCAGCGGGCCCCTCGGACCCCGGGCCGATGGGCGCTGGGACCCGCGCGCTCCAGGCGCATGGAGCCGGCTCCCGGTTCCCGTCACTCCTCCTACTGCGTTTCCCCGGCGCCCCGCCTCCTGGGCACGAAGCGAAGGAAGGGGGCCGGGCCGAGGTTGATCCCGCCCCCTCCCCAGTCCCTGATTGGCTGCTGCTGTTGTCCATCCGAGAATCTATTTTTGATGGAGCGGGGGGGGTGCCACCCAGTCTGCCCCAGATCACGTTTGCCACCGGCAGCCAACCAGTTGGGCCCGAGTCCGCGGGCAAGAAGCGATTGGGGGCGCGTGAGCTCGGCTCCCCGGTCCCCCGTCCGGGTGCCCCCCCGCCGGGCCCGAAGCGATATATCCTGCCCTCCCCGGCCACCTCCCCCGCGTGGAAGCGGAGCGGCGGCCTCGCTGTAACGCAGAAGCGAAATGTAGCGAGCCGGGTGTCGCGGCTGGACGCTCGCCTTGGCTGGGGGTGTGGGGGGGCACGCCGGGGGCCAAGGAGGACTGTCGAGGAGGAGTGATGAGAAGAGGGGGTGCCCTGCACCCCCCGAGACCACGGGCCACGCTGCCACTTGCCAGGCGCCCCCCTTCCTCCCAGGCGAGGGGCAGGTCAGTCCTGTGGGGTCCTGGGGCGGGGAGGGGGTGGTGGAGGGCGGCAGTCCTGGCGCGCAGCGCATTTGCTGAATCTGAGTGGTGGAGAGACTGAGGAGGCCACCCAGTTACTTTCTCTCCCTCCTCGGGGTTGGGGATACTAAAATGGGTCTTTTTTGTCCCCGCCTGGGAGGAGGGGATAGGGCGTCCTGGTTCACTTTTGCTTCTTTCGTCCCAGGGCCTTAGGCCTGTCTGAAGTCTCTTTACAGGGGGAGTGGTGAGGGAGGACTGGCTTCCCCTCCTGGGAGCCCCCTCTCAGGTTCAGTGGCCTGCCAGGAACACAGGAGGGAGGCGGGGGTGTCAGCTTTTAGCGGACTCAGAAACTTTTCTGGCATAGGGGCACTGGACTCAGAGGTTTCCTCCTGGATCTCTGGTGAGGGAGTTTGAAAGAACCACAGTACTGTGTTTAAGGAGATTGGAAAAGGGAGTCCTGGTGGGTGACTGAATTGATAGAGGAAACAGTTCTCCTGGGCCAGTTCCTGGGGTTTGATACCTCCTTTCCTAAACTGAACTTGACTAATTGTGTGTGTTTGGAATACTTAAGGACCTGTTCCTCTTACCTGGTGGAACTCTCTTTAAATTTATTTTTTACGAATAAGAGCTCTTCTGGTGAAATGGAATAGGATGGGAGTCCATCAGGAATTAGGAAGCCTGGGGATTCCTTTAGGCAGAGAAGTGGAGCCATTACAGCTAAAGAGATGCATTTGGAGCAAGTGCATATTGGCTTACGGTGCTTTGGTTTTTGTTTTGGGTTTTTTTTATTGCTACTTTTGTTTTTTTGTTTTTGTTTCTAAGAATTCCACTATATCCAACTCTCAGTAACCCTGGGGAACAGGAGGAGCCTAATTAACTGAAATGCGTGGGTAATAAGCAATCGTTTTATGCTCTGTCCCTTCTAACTGAGATAACTCCCTTGTCCTATCTGACAAGCTCACAGGGCCAAGAGCAGGGGGAGACGGGGAGAGACAGAGGCCTGGATCCGAGTCAGCTGTCTGAGCTCTTTGTAACACTGTTGACTCTCAAGGGCAGGAGTGGGTAGGCCTCTGGCTCTTGGCCTTGGTCTGGCAGGCTTGCCCCACTGCCCAGGGAGTCCTCCTAGCTTTGTTTTGTTTTCTCAGAAGCTAGAACGATCTGGGGTCTGGGGGACTTCACTCAGCAATCAGTTTCTCCCTATTTCTTTGCCCTGTGTGGCTGTCTTTCTGTTGCTGTCTTGTGATGATAAGCAGTCACTTTATACAGGGGTGGCTGTGTGGCAGGGAGTTTGTGACTGAATTTGTAACTGAACCCCACTTAAATAATGCAGGGTTCTTAATGGGCATTCAAGAAGGGGTCTTGCTGAGGACACACCTACCCACCCCCAGTTGCTGAGGAAACAGTGCAGAGGGCTTCTGCACAGCATCTTCCCAATCCCAGGCTGGTCACATCTCATTGCTGGTGACCACGGTGGTGATCCCTCAGGAGGGTTGCTGGTGGGGAGGATGGCGGGGATAGCTCCTGCTGAGCCTCCAGATGGAGCAGTGCAGGACTGAGTAATTTTTGCGGAAAAAGGGAGGCAAATAGCAAACTCTATAGCTATATGATGAACTCCTAACTTCCTTGGGGGGAAATTCTCCCAGTACAAGCTGTCCTTTGCTATAGTGTAATGTTCTTTTTCTTTTCTTTCTCCTTCCCACATAAGGTGTTCCACACTGATTCTCGTGACTTTAAGGACCAGGGATTTGAAGAGGTATTAGCTCTTCCCAGGAAGGGAGGAAGTTTCTGGAAGAGAAGGGAAAGACGGCAGACGCTGCGCTGGGACCAGCAGAGCCTGAGGAGCTGTGGGAAGCTGACAGAGCCCAGCCAAAGGAGCGGGAAGGAGCCGCAGCCCCAGGCTGGCACTGTGTTCTGAAAGATTTGAACTCAAGCTGCTTTTTACGGAAGAGGGGCCACTTCAGAGGGCACCCCAGAATTTGGTTGAGCTCTTCTACTCTGGATGCCCCCTGCTCTGAGGAGCCTGCCACTGAGAACCAAAGAAGATAAGAGGACAGATACTTTTTCTTCAAGCACAGAGCTGGTGGGTTGGAGTCAGGCATCTGCACCCCTAGTGGCTGTCTGGTGAGGAATTTCTTGTTTCTTCCCAGCTTGCGGCTTCAGTGCTTGATGGGGCTGCCTGTTGGTGGATCAGTTTTTGCAGTGCCTGGTAGGAGTGGAGAGCCGTGGGAAGAGGTCCTGCGGCGCCCAAGCCTGGGTTCACCCCAAGACTAAGTTCTTTCCCAAGTTAGAGAAGAAGAGAGAAAGCAAAAAGAAGAGAGGAAAGTTCTCCCTTCCCCTCCTCCGTGCCTGTCATGTCCTCTAAGCCAGAGCCGAAGGACGTCCACCAACTGAACGGGACTGGCCCTTCTGCCTCTCCCTGCTCTTCAGATGGCCCAGGGAGAGAGCCCTTGGCTGGGACCTCAGAGTTCCTGGGGCCTGATGGGGCTGGGGTAGAGGTGGTGATTGAGTCTCGGGCCAACGCCAAGGGGGTTCGGGAGGAGGACGCCCTGCTGGAGAACGGGAGCCAGAGCAACGAAAGTGACGACGTCAGCACAGACCGTGGCCCTGCGCCACCTTCCCCGCTCAAGGAGACCTCCTTTTCCATCGGGCTGCAAGTACTGTTTCCATTCCTCCTGGCAGGCTTTGGGACCGTGGCTGCTGGCATGGTGTTGGACATCGTGCAGGTAGGACCTGAGTAGGGCAGCTCTTGACTGTGAGCCCAGGGCCACCTTTGCCTGCTGGGAAACTTGGAACTTCCTCTCTACCTCCCTGTCAGAAGTGGCTGCTGCTTCCTAGAATACTGTTTTCCTTTGGATCATGTCCTCGGTTTCTTCTTGGTCTAGTTCCTTTCTACAGAAGCCTCAAGGAAACCGAGTAGCCCTGGGGAGGTGATCAGGGCAGTATTGCTAAATAGAAACAGAATTGGCTCCCGAGCTCAGGCTTGGGAGAGGAGAGATGGAACAGGGTCGTTGCTTGCCATCTCTCCCAAGCAGTCCTGCCGAGCCCAGCTCAGTAGGAGACATTTACAAGGGTCTCCTCTTTATGCCTTTTGTCCCCTGCATTTGGGGTTTCAAGGATACCCATAGTAGAAAGCTCAGTTTCAAGCCTCTCCTCCATCCCCCTACTGGGCAGGAATTTGTTCAGCTGCCAAGAGGGTCTCAAATTAAGTAGGAAGGCTCTTGAAGGCATTTTGTGTTGCTTATCTTCCTGTAACCTTGGCATAATCCCCTTGGGGGGTGGGGGTGGGCACTTGCTGTCTGATGCATGATTTGGAGATTTGGTGTAACAAGACCCAAATGTGCTAATTATCTGCTGTAAATGGGGACAAAATGTAACTAGGCCTGGGCAGAACTGTCTCTCCTCTTTGCTCCTCACCTGTCATTCTGAACCTGCCCTGGGCAAAGAGGGTTCTTTTTGAGGACATTGGGTAGAATGAAGGATGAGAGTCGGTGGGACATGGAATCTAAGAGCCAGAGATGTGCCATGTTAATTTATTGTGAGTCAGGACTTATGAAGAACCTCCAGGTCCAAGAGTTAAAGTTTTGTTTTTAGATAAAAGTTTTTTAGGCACAGTGTGGCACACCAAACTTTTTGAAGGTGCTGGGTTTACCTAAGTAATTCAGCAATGTGTATCAAATTCCTGCTGAATGCTGGCCTCTGTCCTAGGTACTCAGAGAAATATTAATACCAAGGCAGGAGGAGATCTGGCCTTTGCTTTTTGGGACCCCCAGTGTTCCCTGACTGTGATATCTCCCAGAAGGACACGAAGCTTAGCATCACCTTCCCTGTGCCAAGCCAACCCTACAGACCATAGTGATATAGAGTTCTGCTGGTAGGTCTCACCATGCCTGTGTCCTGGGAGACTGAAGGGGGTTGGTTCTTGATAGTGTGTGCACATGGAGAACTTTGACTTGAGCCCTTCAGGGGAACCCTGCACCTTTGGTTGCTCATGAGAGTGCTGTTTAAGTCATGCCAAAGTGCCTTGCACTGCCTCCCCTTTCCCCAAAACTGTTATCTTGAAGGTTGTTCCTACATGGAGGTTGGGAAGCCAGCCTGGAGCTTTGGGTTCCTCCTGCTAGGGGCTGCTCCTCCCCCTAGGGCCGGGACTGGGACAGTAGGAGGAGGAGAAAGAGACTAGGGTAACATTTTTCTTCACCTCTTCTATTCCTTTCCTGTGGCCTCAGTTCTCATTCTTGAAGTTGTTGCATTCTGGTTTGATACCTACAAAGGGTTGCAGAGCCAGGGTCCAGAGGTGAACTGAAGAGAGTTGTCTTATTTTCTGGATAATAGTAATGGTAGTGGGGAAGCATTTGGGGGGCTCTTCGGTAGGCCCATGAGGTAGGATCCATAATCATCTCCATTTTGTAGGTAGGGAACTTGTAGCTTAGAGGGATTAGGTAACTTGTCCCTGGTCATCTGACCCTAGAGCCCACACCACTAACCCCTGTGGCCTTCGCCATGGCCATGGTTCACCAGTTGGTTAAAAACTCGGAGAGGGGGCCGAGCTCAGTGGCTCATGCCTGTAATCCTAGCACTTTGGGAGGTCAAGACGGGCGGATCACCTGAGGTCAGGAGTTTGAGACCAGTCTGGCCAACACAGTGAAACCCCGTCTCTACTAAAAATACAAAAAATTAGCTGGGCATGGTGGCAGGCACCTGTAGTCCCAGCTACTTGGAAGCTGAGGCAAGAGAATCATTTGAGCCCGAGAAGTGGAGGCTGCAATGAGCCAAGATCGTGCCACTGCTCTCCAGCCTGGGTGACAGAGCGAGACTCCAACTCAAAAAAAAAAAAACTCTGGCTGGGCATGGTGGCTTATGCCTGTAATCCCAGCACTTTTGGAGGCTGAGGCAGGAGGATCGCTTGAAGCCAGGAGTTCAAGACCAGCCTGGGCAACAAAGTGAGACCTTGTCTCTACCAAAAAAAAAAAAAATAGTCAGGCATGGTGGCATTCTCGTATAATTCCAGCACTTTGAGAGGCTGAGATAGGAGTGATCACTTGAGCCCAGGAGTTTGAAGTCGCAATGAGCTATGATTGTACCACTGCACTCCAGCCTCAGCAACAGAGCCAAACGCTGTCTCAAAAAAAAAAAAAAAAAAAAAAAGACTCTACGAGGAGCCTATTTTCTTTGTCTTTCCTTGAAGAACTGGGTGGATTAGAATCTGGATTAATTAGCGTTATCTTCTGAAGTGAGCAAGAATAAAAGTTCTTAGATGGGGTAGGGAGGGACCCCCGCATACACACCACACCCCTACCCATCCCACACACTTAGATTCCAAAGTTTCTGATGTGTTGCCCCATCCCCACTCCAGGCCCATGAGCTGGAGACATTGAGAGGCCTGGGTAGGGAACCTTTGGAGCTGCTCTCAGTGTGGCACCTCAGCTCACCTCAGAGCTAGGGTCCACTTGGTGTGGATGACAATGACAGGTTTGTCCATGTCCTCCTCCCCCAGCCTTCCTGCTACAGCTGGGCTGGAGCAGGCCCTGCAGATGGCAACAGTGAGATGGCAGGAGGGGGTGAGTGCAGAGGGACCGAGACATGGGACCACAGGGAGATTGTTATTCCACATCCATGGGAGTAAAAGGGGGACTGACAATCTCAGATTCAGGAAGAGCGGGATGGTTTCTAAGGATTCACACCTATATTACCCCTTCATAAGCTAAGATGGACTTCAGTAAGAGAATCTGAAAGTGCCCCAAGACCATGGGGCCATCTGGAGAAGCTGGCTATGGAGTGTCCCCAGCATCTTGGAGCAACTGAGCAGGAGTCCATATTGGGCCTGGTTCAGATGTCTCCTTGGTCCAGGGCCCCCATCTTTCCTTGCTGCTGTAGAAAACTTGGTTTCTTTTTCACCAACGAGATGCAAAAAAAATAAAAATAAAAAGTTGAATTTTAATTTTAATTTAAAAGAAAAAGAAAACCCACTCTCTTCCTAGAAGGGTCATTTCTGCCTCCTCTTATCTGCCCTCCCGTAAATGTGCACAGCAGCATCTGCAGTGAAATAAGGGGCTGGTGCTGGCCCAAAGTAGGAAAAGGATAAATGGACCTCCATCTGCTCTAACTTCCCAACCATGGCTGAAAGTTCCTGCAGCATCTGGAAGGGAAGCAGGCTGGGGCCTGGTGTTGGCTTCTGAAGGGGGTTGGGATATGGGAGCCTCCTCACTGCAGGAGCCTTGTGCCCATCTGCCCAGTTTGGTCCTAGGCTGCTCCGGATGTCTCACTCCCTTTATCTGTCAGCCTTTGTGAGGGATGGGGTGACAGGAAGTAGTGTGCCCATCTGCACTTTAATTCCCAGCTAGGTTAAGACAGGTCCTTATTTTAACTCACTACTCACCTGCTAAGGATCTTGAACAAAGTAGATCCTGCTGTGTATACAGAAGTCTACAACGATGAAAGTGCATGGCAAGCGTGGCCTTGGGGAAGTAGAGTGGGAAGGAAGTATTCCTCCTGTGCCTGGCCTGCTCCTGTGGCCGCAGCATCCCTGGGCGGGACACTCTTATCTGCTTCACTTGACCACCCCTTCTGCTTTTCCCATCTCTGTCCCCTGCCTGCTGTCAGGGACCCATTTGCTTTGCTCCTGCTTTGTCCTGCACCGTATATCCAGGTGTTGCCCTAAAGCCCTTTCCTGGACACCTAGAGGATGCCTTTTGGAAAAGCCTCAGACAGGTGAAGCCTGGGGTTACTGTAATCTCATCTGACCCAGTCCTTACCCTAAAAGATCAGCTCCAGCCCAGCTTCTCCCACAGGAGCCCAGATTCTCCCCAGCCTGGAGCCTAAAGCTTGTATCTGGGAATTTAAGTCTTCTTAATGTCTTGATTCCTGGCTCTGACTTTCTTCCCTGCTGCTACCCTCCTGAGGTGGCTCAGGCCAGAACCCTTGAAGGCAGGTCAGGGTCAGTGTATGAGCTTGGATTGGAGTAGGTGAAGGATGGAAGAGGCGCATTGGAAGGGCAAGGAAGAGGTACTGGCAGGACCACTGAGGATCGAGACTTAAGGTGATTGCTGTGCCTCAGGATTCATTTTGGCTATGGGGGAGGCAGTCTATTCCCTCACCTGCAGAATACCAGGGATCCATGAGCCCCTCACACCAAGGTTAGAGAAGGAAAGAGATGAGGAGCTGCATTTCTGAGAAGTAGTTAAAATCTAGATGCTCCCCTCACCTCCAAGCAGGGCAGCACTTCCTGGAACATGCCCTTTTTCATCCCCATCAGAGCAGGAAGGCGTGGGTGGCTGCTTGGCAGACGGGTGTGACTTCAGGGGCAGATACTCCTAGCCTGGATGAACAGGATGGGGCTGAATTTGGCCAAAGGAGGAAGAAGAGCTACTCACTGTCTGCCCCTGCCCATCCTGTCTACTCCTAACCTTAAGGCCACCTTGATTCCTGGGCTGGCTCCACATCTCCAGCCTCCAGCATCTCTTTCCAGAGTCCTATGCATGCCCATGTGTCAGAGGCTTTCTGCCTGAGCTGCAGCTTTGAGAGGGTTTGTGGGTGAAGAAAGTATGTGTGTAGGAATTGGCTTCTCTGACCCAAGTGCCAACTCGGGGCTTTGCTGGCCTGGGGTCAGGTCGTTTGAGGTTCCAGGCTATATTCTGTAAGAGTCGGGAAGACTTTTGCATAGGGGCTGTTACTGTGACTGCTCCCTCTCCTTGCCTGTCTGTCTCTTATCCCACTGCTCCTAACACTCCGTACTTTGTAGATCCTCCTGTAGCTATAAGGAGAGGGTGCATTGTGCTGGGAGGTAGAGAGATTTGGGGTGCTTATGGTAGCAACCAGAGGAACTTAGCTGAGCTTTATACATTTTTCTTAAATAATAATAAAAGCAAGCAATATTCATTACAAACAGCTCAGAAAACATTGCTTGCATACATGTGGAGTCTTCTTGTGGGCTTTTTCTTTCTATGAGTACATGTACATTACATACACCTACCTGTAGAAGTCAGATTTTCATGGAGCTGGCAGCTTGGAAGCAGGGTGGAGCTGGTGTTTTGGGGTGAAGATGAGCTCTGAGGCTGTGCTCTGAGAGGAGCTTTGAAAGCCCGCAAGGGAGGGGAGAAGAGGGGGATTTTTCCCCTCTCTGGAGCTGGTTTGGGAGGAAGCAGGAGGCGAAGCAGAGCAAGGCCAGACTGCAGGGAGCTGGAGCCTCAGTGGTATGTACCAGCCGTGTCCAAGAGTAACAGTCCCCAAGTTGCTCCAGGGCAGATGGGGCTCACTGGGGCTGCCTTCTCTCTGGGGGGTCTTAGGGTGGGAAGGGATTCACTTCCCTTCAGTGTTTGGAGAGGGCTGGCTCATCCTTTGGCTGCCTGGAAGCCCAGTAACTGTTGTTGAGATGGGGGGCAGTCTCTTCCCCATTGTTAGTCCCTACGGTGGGGCTTCCCTAAGGAGAGTCCCAGGTCTTGGCCAGACCAGAAGCTCAGGCAAGCGTATGCTCCAGCCCCAGTGAAATGAGTCCTTCCCCAGGATCCTGTGAGGCCTCCCACCCCATTCACACAGGGAGAGCTCCGACAGGAAAAGAGAGGTTCTTGCCTTATAGGGCCACCCAGCGCCCAGCCTCTCCTGGTCTCAAGCCCTAGCCCCACCCCCTCTGATAGCCTTGCTTATCTTTTTGGTTATTGTGGTAAAAAATGTGTAACATAAAATTTACCATCTTAACCCTTTTTTAAGTGTGCTGTTCAATAGTACTACGTATATTCACCTCATTGTACAACAGATCTCCAGAACTCCTCATCTTCCCCAGCTGAAGCTCTGTACCTATTAAACACTCACTCTTTTCCCTGCTCCCCCAGCGCCTTGCTTCCACCATTCTTCTTTCCGCCTCTATGAATTTGACTACTTAGGCTGGGCTCGGTGCCTCATACCTGTAGTCCCCACACTTTGGGAGGTCGAGGCGAGAGGATCCTTTGAGCCCAGGAGTTCGAGACCAGCCTGGGCAATATAGTGAAACCCCTGTCTCTACAAAAAATACAAAAATTAGCCAGGTGTGGTGGTGCATGCCTCTAGTCCCAACTACCCGAGAGACTGAGATGGGAGGATGGCTGGAGCCCGAAGCCATGATTGCACCACTGCACTCCAGCCTGGGCCACAGAGTGAGACCGTGTCTCAAGAAAAAAAAAAAAAAAAAAAAGAATTTGACTACTTTGGATACCTCAGATAAGTGTTTTTTATCTGAGTGTTTTATCATACAGTGTTTTTTATGACTAGAGTAATGTCCTCAAGGTTCATCCATGTTGTGGCATATGACAGGATTTCCTTCCTTTTTAAGGCTGAGAAATATTCCATGGTATATATGTACCACACTTTGCATATTTTGTTTATCCATTCATTCCTTGATGGACATTTGGGTTGCTTCCACCTCTTGGTTATTACATATAGTGCTACTATGAACATGGGCATATTAATATATCTTCAAGACCTTGCTTTCTATTCTTTTGGATAAATATCCAGAAGTGGGATTGCTGGATCATGTGGTAGTTTTATTTTTAATTTTTTGAGGAACCACCGTACTGTTTTTCATAGCAGCTGCACCATTTTATAGTCCCACCAAGAGTGCACAAGGGTTCCAATCTCCACATGCTTTTTTCTTTTCTTGAGACGGAGTCTTGCTCTGTCACCCAGGCTGGAGTGCAGTGGCACTGTCTCGGCTCACTGCAACCTCCAACTCCCAAGTTCAAGCAATTCTTCTGCCTCAGCCTCCCCAGTAGCTGGGATTACAGGTGTGCGCCACCATTCCCGGCTAATTTTTGTATTTTTAGTAGAAACAGGGTTTCACTATGTTTGCCAGGCTGGTCTCCAACTCCTGACCTCAAGTGATCCACTTTCCTTGGCCTCCCAAAGTGCTGGGATTACAGGCATGAGCCACTATGCCCAGCCCAAACTCTACATCCTTGCTAACACTGATTATTTTCTGGGTTTTTAAATAGTAACCATCCTAATGAGTGTGAGGTGATCTCTTACTAATCTACAGTATTGCTCAACTTTATTTTATCTATTTTATTTTATTTTATTTTATTTTATTTTATTTTATTTTATTTTATTTTTGAGACAGAGTTTCACTCTTATTGCCCAGGCTGGAGTGCAGTGGTGCGATCTTGGCTCACTGCAACCTCCACCTCTTGGGTTCAAGCGATTCTCCTGCCTCAGCCTCCCGAGTAGCTTGGGATTACAAGCATGTGCCACCACGACCAGCTAATTTTTGTATTTTCAGTAGAGACGGGGTTTCTCCATGTTGGTCAGGCTGGTCTCAAACTCCTGGCCTCAGGTGATCTGCCCGCCTCGGCCTCCCAAAGTGCTGGGATTATAGGTGTGAGCCGCTGCGCTCGGCCACTGCTCATCTTTAACGACAGAGTGTGGGTGTTGGAATTGCCTTGAAAGACCATCTGATCTGGTCCCTGAATTGAACATTTTTCAAGAGCTTGAGGCCCTTGTAACTTGTCTAAGGTGTCCAGCCGGTCTACGTGAGGAGGTGTACTGGGGAGATAAGCAGGGGGCCATCCCTGCTGTCTCCTGTAGGAGACCCAAGGCTCTTGGTCCAGTGCCCTTGCCAAACATAGTGCTTGGCCTCCCAGCCATGATACGCAGACCAACCCATATATATCCGCCTGGCCTCCTGCCTCCTCCTCCCTCTCCAAACCTGGAGGCTTTCCATTCTTAAAACAAATAAAAGAAACCACCTACCCTGTTAGGGCCAGGGAGGGAGACACAATCCTAAACCTTTTTGCAAGTCCTCAGTTTCAATTGCAAGTAAAGTAGCTTTCAAATAGCCAGTCCTGGTTCCTGCAGTCCTCTTAGCACTAACTAGTGGAATACTGTCTGAACCCCAGTTTACTCATTCACAAAATGAGAATAAAAATAGCCCCTACCTTACTGGGTTGTTAAGATGATTAAAAGAGAAAATACATGGAGAGCACTTAGCCTAGCACACAATCAGTCCTTAATAGATGTTAACCAAAGACATTGGTAGGAGAGCCAGGATTGATTGTCTTGGGACTAGAACTCAGGTCTCCTGACTCCCGGTCCAGGGCTCTTCCTACAGGAGTACACTTGCTTCTCCTAGCTGAGAGATTGAGGAAGGTGTGTGGGGGTAAGGCAGTGCACAGAGAAATAAAAAGCCTCTTGCAGGCCAGCATTCAGAGGTTTAGGGGCCACAGTCTTAATTCAGAGCCTGTTCAGAAGGAGAGTTGCTGTGGCTGAGGCCCAAAGCCCTTGGAGATAGAAACCAAACAAACTCTCTAATCTCCCCAGCCTCGGCCCCAGCCCTGTGGAGCCCAACTCTTCACAGCTGAGACAACAGAGAAACTGGACTGAAGGCAAAGGGGCCAGGGATTGCAATTTGAGGGGGGATTGCAAAGGATTTCTGGGGTGTCAGGCAGCCCAGGGCAGCTCAGCTGTGTGGGTCCCCATTACCCTTCCCCACCCACCTCCAGGAAAACAGAAAAGGTAGGGCCAGACTGAGAGTCTCCCAACCGGCAGAAACCCTCTCCATCTCCCTGGTTCTGGGTGGCAGGAAGGGGGGTTGTGTTGTTTGAAGAATCATGGGCTTGGTTTGGTTCCAAGGTTCTTGGAGGAAAGGTGGCTGGCGTGCTCACTCCCTGCTGATTCTATTTCCTCCTCGAGCCCCTGATCTCAGACTACCTGTTGAACCTCAATGCCCGCCCTTTGGGGCACTGAAATTCCTGGGTTCTGTTTTCACCTCGTAGCACTGGGAAGTCTTCCAGAAGGTGACAGAGGTCTTCATCCTAGTGCCTGCGCTGCTGGGGCTCAAAGGGAACCTGGAAATGACCCTGGCATCAAGGCTTTCCACTGCAGTGAGTATCCTGGCTGGGAGGAGTGGGGCACAGAGAGGACTCTGGGCAGCACAGAGCCAGAGACTGGGAGAGGGCTACGAGCCCTTCTCCACTGCCCAGGCCTGGAGTGTGGGGCTGGGGTGGGAAGGGAGGGCCTGGCTGGGCAGGTGTAGGGAGATCCCAGGCTGGGTGTCCTGCTCCTGGGCAGGGGCTCCCTGCCCAAAGTGGTTCCCAGGCTTGGTTTCTGGATGTCCCAGCCACCCCTGGACTCCTGCCCCACCCCCTACCTCTCAACCACCTCGTGACTGTTTGTGCAGCTTTGACAGGCAGGCATCATGCTGGTTCCTCCACCCGCACAGATGGGGGCCTCCTCTGATCTCCAGCCCCTGCTTTGCAGCTGGGCGGGAGCAGAGCCAGGCCCTCCCAGCACCCCCAGCCCCCCGGCCATCCCATTCCCTTTACCCATGGCAGCTTGCTCTTCTTTAAGGAAACAGACAGAGAGGAGCTGCTCGTCATTCCTACCTCCCACAGTTGTGAGCCGTGACGATTCCGGGCCTGAACAGATACAGGGCCCTGGGCTGGAGGTGGGAGATGATAAAACTCAGGAGGCCAGGGATCTCCCTGCAGGGTCAAGAGTCTAGAGAAGGTGACAGACAGAAGTGGCATCCAAGTTAACCCACCCTGACTTGCCATACCCGACTTCTGGCCCATGCCACCCACTCCTTCCCAAATACTCTTGGAGCCTCAGTCCTGCACCAGCAGCTGACCTTTCCTTCCCTGGGATCGCAGGCTGGCTTCAGAGTCAGGGACTGGGTTGTTCTGACCCATGCAGGAATGGGCTGCCCAGATAAGCAGGGCAAAGGATAGAATTTGCCTCTGCTCAGCTGGTGTCCTGAGAGGAAGAGAGGCGACTGCCTAGGGGACCCCCTTCCAACCCCCCACCCAGCTGCAGGAGCCCAGCTTTAGCTCCTTCCCTTTCACCTCAGTTTCCCTGATCCTGCTTCACCTTTCCGGGACTGTCAGGTCCTGCTCTCAGAGTCTTAGGCCACATGTACTGCCTCATGATCTAGGCAGGAGCCTAATGGATGGAGCTTCAGGCCTTTTCCAGCCTGAAGCTCCAGCCCCTTGCCCTCCCTTTCCCAGGCCAACATTGGACACATGGACACACCCAAGGAGCTCTGGCGGATGATCACTGGGAACATGGCCCTCATCCAGGTAAGAAGGCAGGGACCAGAGAGGGTGGGCTAAGCTTCCCCTTAGTCAGGAATCTCTGAAAGGCTTAGGTCAGCCCCAGCAGGCTCCTGAGTGAATCTCCAGTATCCCACTGAGCTGGCTTCCCCCAGAGTAGCTCTAGGAGGTAACTAGGTTACCCAGGAAAACGCCCAAGATGAGGAGGGCCCAGCATCACCCATTCTGGTTCTCAGTTCTTGGTGGTGCACGTGCCTTTGAGTCCCAGCAGATCCTGGCAATATGAGCAGACTCAGGAGTGCTGAGATGTCCTGTGCCACTGCTGTCCCATCTCCCCATGAGACCACACAGGTTCAGACTGGGAGCCTTCCCCCTTGAGGCCCAGGCCTTGACTCTGGGTGGAAGTCTCCGGCTCTGTTGAACCTCACTCCCATCCCCAGAGGCACACTCATTCAGCCAGTAACATGTTCTGGGCTCCTGCAGAGTGCACTGCCCAGTACTAGTGGCTGGTGTGAACCTAAATAAATAAAGACATCCTTCCAGCCTGGGAGGACTGGACCATGCAGTCCAGCCTGCCTCCTGGGGCTACTGCCAGCCAGGAAGAGGTCTGCCCAGATGCTTATGACCTCAGCTTAGGAAGCCCACTGCTCTCAGGGCTTTCTGAGTTACCACTCCTGTCCCCAGGTGCAGGCCACGGTGGTGGGCTTCCTGGCGTCCATCGCAGCCGTCGTCTTTGGCTGGATCCCTGATGGCCACTTCAGTATTCCGCACGCCTTCCTGCTCTGTGCTAGCAGCGTGGCCACAGCCTTCATTGCCTCCCTGGTACTGGGTAAGAAAGGGAGGGCATAGAGGAGTAAGGAGTGCCGCCCCAGAGAACACTGCACCTGGCACTTCCACTCTCTCTTTTTGTTTGTTGAGACTCCTTTATCTCTTCTCACCCTGCCTGCCCCTCCTCCCACTTGCTCACCAGGTATGATCATGATTGGAGTCATCATTGGCTCTCGCAAGATTGGGATCAACCCAGACAACGTGGCCACACCCATTGCTGCCAGCCTGGGCGACCTCATCACCTTGGCGCTGCTCTCAGGCATCAGCTGGGGACTCTACCTGGAACTGAGTGAGCCACCAAGAGTGTGGCTTCTTGGAGTCCTGGGTGGGGTTGGGAGAGATGGTAGTAGTTTGCAAATGTGCAAGAGTTTCTTCTGTGTTCTTAAACTATTTGGTTTGAACACAGGTTGTAATAATTCCTGATCTTAGAGATTTGAAGCTAAGTACTGATCTCAAATTCAAGCAGGCATCAGGGGCAGGGGAAAAGTATCAGAAGTATATTCCTGTGTGGTCCTGCAGATTCTTACTTCTCTTGGAGGGATGAGGTGGAAAGGGTAAAGGAAAGGAACCAGAGGCTTAGATCTGCTTGCAAAATGAAGAAGCGGGTGGGAGATGGTGTTTTCTGGGCTCCAATCAAGAGACCTAGAGTCTCTGTCCTCTGGTCTCTGTCCCTAATTGGCTCAGTGCCTGGCTAGCTCTCTCCCTTGGTTTCCTCATCCATAAAATGGAAAAGGCTTGTCCCACCTACCTCCTGAGCTGCCAGTGAAGATCAAATGGGATAATGTGTTTACTGGCATTTAGTGTAGTCTTGCTATTGATCTGTTGGGACATTTTCAGGCTGAGCCAGGGAGAAACTTAGGGTAGGGAAACACAGTGCTTATCTCCTTCTGACCTCTGCCCTCTCAGATCACTGGCGATACATCTACCCACTGGTGTGTGCTTTCTTTGTGGCCCTGCTGCCTGTCTGGGTGGTGCTGGCCCGACGAAGTCCAGCCACAAGGGAGGTGTTGTACTCGGGCTGGGAGCCTGTTATCATTGCCATGGCCATCAGCAGGTAGGCTGGGGCCCTGAGTATCCACTCCTACCCCACTCCAACCCTTCCACAGACTTCTTTTTAAACCCTGGAGAGATGGGGTGGGGGTCAGACCCTAGAAATGTGTTCATTAGTGTTTCAGTCACATGTCCTTCTGTTGAAAATGACAGAAACCATCTGAACTGGGTTTCATTCCAAGGCAGAATGTATTGGCCTGGAGAACCAAAAAGGCACAGCTGAATTCAGCGACATACCTAAGATCAGGGCCCCAGTACTCTGTGACTCTTAGCTCTGCTCTTCTCTGTCATGGCCTACAGCCCAGGTTTATGCTTTTCTTACTCCTACAAATTCCAGTGGGAAGAGAGATTCTTCCCCCAACAGTTCCACAAAGTCCCAGAATAGAGTTCCACTGCTTCTCATCTGGTGACATGATTATCTCCAAACCAGTCAGCGTGGCCTTGGGGCTGCAATCCTCTGATTGGATGGACCTGGAGCCTAGCTATCATTGAGGCATTGTCACCTGAGCCACAGTCACTGAGCTTGAGAGAGGTGGTTCCCTGTGGAGGAGCCCAGTGCTATCACCAGAAAGGGAAGTAAATGCTGAGTGGGCAGAACAACAGAGGTCCTCAGAGGCAGATAGTCCTGCAGGCTGCTCCTCCGGCCAACTTAGAGGGCAGGTACAGGAGGTGGTTGCCTGACCCAGTACCACCAGCTTGTTCTGGAGTCACTGTGCCCAGTCAGAATGTTATGAGCAGCACCTAATCCTGTCAAGGGAGGCAAGGACTGGATGGTGAGGAACTCCTGAGAGCCATGGTGCTTCCCTTCATCTCCAAGGATAGGTGGGCCTGGACCTCTCATCCCAGAGACTAAGGCAGAACCCTTCAGTGGTCTTTGCGTCATTTTGTCTTTATGTCTCTATAGTGTGGGAGGCCTCATCTTGGACAAGACTGTCTCAGACCCCAACTTTGCTGGGATGGCTGTCTTCACGCCTGTGATTAATGGTGAGGTCTGGGCATCAGCTATCAGAGGGCAGGGCTGGGGGAAGGAAAGGGACAGGAGAAGAGGACTTAAGGGGTTGGTTTCTGTATCAGTCAGGGTTCCAGCAGACGAGAATCTAGCTCAGATGGTTCAAGACCTTAATGAAGGGACTGCTTACAGAGGTGGGAGCAGAGTAAAAGGACAGATAAGGGATGTTGAGGCACCGAGAGATTAGCAGCAATGGGAAGCCTCTACTCCTAAAGGGTCAAGGGGAGTATCATAGTCCATTATCTGTTGCTAGAACAGAATACTTGAAACTGGCTAATTTATAACGAAAAGAAGTTTATTTAGCTCACAGTTCTGGAAGCTGGGAAGTTCAAGATTGAGCAGCTGCTTCTAGTGAGGGCCTCATGCTGCATCCAAACATCCAAATGGAGAAACAGAAGGAAAACTGGGCATGTGCAAAATGGGCAAAACAAGAGAGGCAAACCTCGCTTTATGACAACCCACTCTCATGGGAACTATACCTTTCCCAAGAAAGACATTAATCCATCTTAATAACCTATTCACTCTTAAAGGCACCACCTCCCACCACCACATTTGGGGACCAAGCCACAACATGAGTTTTGTTGGGGACAAACTATATTCAAACCATAGTAACGAGGGAATAGCATTATAGGAGTCCAGTGAAAGCTCTGTCTTTGCCCCCAACATGGGGAAGCCAATGCTGAAAAGCAGGGAGGGATTGGGAAAGAAATACCTGATCTCTCTCTCCACCTGCCCTCTGGTTGCCTGCTGTTGCCTCCCACTGAACAAACAGTGGAAGCAGCCAGCAAGGGAGACTGGGTAATGCAGTCTGTGGAGACCAGTCCCCCAGAGCTCAGAGCAAGGCTGAGAAGAGCAGGGAGCAGGTTGGGATGTGAGGGCAACAGAGAAATCAGCACAGGTCCTGGCGGAGATACCAGATTCCAGAGTTTGGAGCTCAAACCTGATCCTTGAAACTGGTTACCAGAATCAGCATATGACCATAGGATGCCTGGGTCTGCTCAGAGCATTGGAGAGGAGGTGAGGCGGTGAGGCAAGGCAGGGCTTCATCCCCTCAGCTGTGTAGGAAGGCAGGTGCCCATGCTCTACTGGTGGAGAAGTCAGGCTCTCTGAGTCTGCAGATCTGCACGTATCCTTTCCGGCACTGTCACAGCTTTGCCAGGGGAACATGGAACTGCTGCATCTCCATAGAGGGGAGGATGGGGGAGGCTGGAAGATGCACTGGAAGCAGGGGTCTTTGTCTTCCTTCTTAGTGCCTTACTCTTCTTTTGGGGACTGGTGAATGGGTGATGCCCACATAGACCCTAAATTAAGACAGAGGACAGTGCCTCTATAGATAGAAGACAAAGAGTGAGAAGATCATTTTGTTCCCACTCCTCCCTCTGACCTCTGTCTGTGTCTAAGCCCGTATGTGTCTCTGCAGGTGTTGGGGGCAATCTGGTGGCAGTGCAGGCCAGCCGCATCTCCACCTTCCTGCACATGAATGGAATGCCCGGAGAGAACTCTGAGCAAGCTCCTCGCCGCTGTCCCAGTCCTTGTACCACCTTCTTCAGCCCTGGTAACGGCAGATTCCCAGCCTCCCAGCCCTGGGGGGAGTGGGCCTACTGTCAGTGAGCTTCACTTAAGAGACAGCTGGGGCCCCAGATCCACAGGTTCTCCTTCTCTGCTGGGCTGTGCCAGCTGTTCTGAAGGGCAGAGCCCAGGCAGGAGGGCTGTCTTTTCCTGGAGCACCCTAGGGGTTGGAGACCACAGGATGCAGAAGTAGAGACATTCATCTGTCTGTTGCCCTGGGGTATGGTGCCGTCCCTCCTGACTTTGAAAGGCCTTCTGGGGCCAGGTCTTCTCCTCCCCTCCTCTTTACACCCTCTTTTCCCCAATTCCAGATGTGAATTCTCGCTCAGCCCGGGTCCTCTTCCTCCTCGTGGTCCCAGGACACCTGGTGTTCCTCTACACCATCAGCTGTATGCAGGGCGGGCACACCACCCTCACACTCATCTTCATCATCTTCTATATGACAGCTGCACTGCTCCAGGTACAAAGTGGCAGGAGCAGGGGCATGGGAAGGAGCCAGGATGCCCTGCAGGGATGGGAGAGGAGGCCAGACTTGGCCTCTTAGACACTCAACCTCCTCTTTCTCTGTGTCAGGGCAGCTGATAAACACCAGACAAGGGTGCAGGAGAACAGATGGTAGTTCCAGTAGAGTCACCAACATGGTGTGTGACTTTGACCCTGTTCTTTTACTACCCTGATCCTCAGCGATACAGTTGTAAATTGAGAGGAATGGACCAGGGGTGGTAGTTTTCATGCAGGTGGTTGTAGGATGCTGAGCCTGTGGGGTTTGCATGCCAACCCCACTGGCCACAGAGCTCCACATGGCTCTGTTTTGCATGTTGAGCTTTCTCAAGAAATTCATTTGCATAAAGCATCCCATAGCTTGAAAAACTGTCAAAACCACTGCACTAGATAATCTGTCGGATCCTGTGTAGCCTTGCCATTCCATAATACCATGACACTTTCTCCCTTCTTGTATTATTACATTGTAAAAGCTTTTTATTTTGAAATCATTACAGATTTGTAAGAAGTTCTCAAAAAAAAGGTTCAGAAATCCCATATACCATTACCCAATTTCCCTCCATGGGAAAATAACATTTTGCATAACTTTAGGACAGTATCAAAATCAGGAAATTAGCATTGATGCAATCTGCAGTGCTTATTCAGATTGAACCAGTTTTACATGCACTCGTGTGTGTGTGTGCGTGTGTGTTCGTTCTATGCAGTTTTTATCACAAGTGGAGATTTGTGTGACCACCACTATAACCAAAATACAGAAAACTGTTTCATCACCACAAGGCTCCCTTATGCTATCCCTTTACAGCTAGATCCACCCTTATTATTACATTTTAAATTTTTATAGGTTTGATTTTTGAATAGTCACATAGTTCAAAAATGTTTTAAGGTTCATAGAGAAACCTCAGTGAAAAGTCTTCTTTTCTGTCCTCTTCTTCACAGCCATCTGTTTCTCTCCTTCACAGACCATCAGTATTATCCCTTTCTTGTGTGTCCTTCAAACCTATTCTATATTTATAAAAGTAAACATATATTTTTCTTATTTCCTTCCTCTTTTTTACACACATGTAGTATACTGTACACACTGTCTGCACCCTGCATTTTTCATTTAAGTTTATCTTTGAGATCATTCCATATCAATACATAAAGAGAACAACACCCTGATTTTCTTACAGCTCCATCATATTCTGTGATACACAGACCATAATTTTATTTCGCCAGTCCTGTATTGATTAACACCTATCCCTCCAGCCCCCTCACCCCCAGCTTTAGAAAGGTTGTGTTCGGACATCTTGGCAGGGGCGGGGCTGAGAATCAGCCATATGCTGTTGCCCTGCAGCAGTTAGCCAAGCTGCCACATTCCATTGCTAGTGGGTTCCAGTGCAGCACGTGGTGGGAAGATGGGGGTGGATATGCCAGGGGTCTGTGGTGGAGGTTTTCAGCTCATCCCTTGGCCTGAATTGGAAAGGATGAGCCTCAGTGCCATCACCCATGATGAATACCCTGGAGACATTCTTGCCTCTGCTGTCCTCTCTAGATCTGTGGAGGGCCAGAGCGTGACACTTGATCCCCTGTAAAGGCTCTTATTGATCCCTTTGCCACCTCCTCCCAGCTGTGTGTCCTGGGGCCTGCTCAAGAAGCTGGAATGTGAGGACAGCTGCTACCATTCCCTTCCTAGGGCATGTCCCAAAGGCCTCCTGGCCATGCTCTTTATTTGGGACCCTTCTGCAGCTGCTGGAAAGGGTGTGAAGTTATGGAAGGTAGGGGAGCCAAGGCCGTGGTAGCACAAGACAGCTGTGTGCAGAGCAAGGGAGAATGTGAAGAGTCATCTCTGGCTTCCTTGGAGAGAGGGCAGGATTCTCTCAGGCAGAGCCTAAAATTTAAAAAAAAAAAAAGAGAGAGGACAGGAGAGCAACCAAGATTGCCTAAAAATAGGTATCAGTTCTGGCTTCTGGATCCCTTAAGGGCTGTGGTTCCCGCATCTGGATCCCTTAGGGCAGAATTTTCATACCACAGTATTTACAAAGTATAGTCAAGGGTAAAACCTCCCAGATGACTGACTGTATTAGAGCTTGACCGTCAGAATCTGTTTCATTCTCACGCAGATGCAGTCATTTAGGGAGCCCAAATGTCAGGCACTGTGCAGATTCTAGGAGATTCAGGCCTGCCCCACCGTGGTATTCTAGATCAAGGGCATCGCCAACTTAAAAGCGCATGTAAATCTTGTTAAATGCGGACTCTGACTCAAGAGGTCCAGAGATTTTGCATTTCTAACAAGCACCCAGCTGTTGTTGATGCTGCTGGTCCTGGGCCCACTAGCGAGATTCTGATCTGAGTCATTCTTAATTATCTGTATTAATAGAAGGTAAGCAAGAACACAGATAAAATCAAAGCCACAGATCATGTCAAATGTATTTTGAATTGGTATGCATTGTCTGCTTTATATTAATATTGAGGTGACTTATTCACAATTCAACTTTATTAGGACTAATGTTAAAATAAACTTGCATTCTTTGAGCCCAAACAATGGAAAAGAATGGAATGAAAAGCCACAACAACAGAATGAAAAGGGTCAGGAGGAAGCCAGCTTGGGATGATCATCTGTTACTTAAGACAACCGCCAGCAGCAGCTTCAAACACTATCCTTATACCACTCTGCCGAGAGAAGACATCCCTTTAGGAAAAGCTGACTCCAGCAGCCAGCCCCCTGCCATGCTCCTGGAAAGGCCAACATGGCAGGAATTGGAGTGACCCCAGAATGAGGTGACCCAGAGTTAGAGGCAAGAGGGCTGAGTTTCTGCAACAAGTAGGATTTAGGTCAGGAAGCTCCTTGTTTGGTAAACTTGGGAGCAGAATATAATGCTGATGTGGGTGACCCTGGGTCGTAGCAGCATCTTCCTTTCTAAAGAGCTCTTATTGTGCCTGTTGTCTGCTCAAAGTGGTAATTGTGGGGTGGAGAAACACAGAGAGGTTGCTGGGGTGGAAAGAGGAAGATTAAAAAGTAAGGATTATGGCCAGCCAAGCCCTGTGATGCACTGAATGGGTCTGATCATGTGGCCTCTGGCTCCCCCTGGAGAGAGAGGATGGCTATAGGCTGGGCCCTTTTGTCTCCCCAGGTGCTGATTCTCCTGTACATCGCAGACTGGATGGTGCACTGGATGTGGGGCCGGGGCCTGGACCCGGACAACTTCTCCATCCCATACTTGACTGCTCTGGGGGACCTGCTTGGCACTGGGCTCCTAGCACTCAGCTTCCATGTTCTCTGGCTCATAGGGGACCGAGACACGGATGTCGGGGACTAGCTTGGTCACTCAACATTTTCCCCATCCCTCTGCACTTTCTATTTGAAATTTTTCTTTTGTTCCCCTGTCCCTCCTCCACCCCACACTCCCACCTCTTTCTAGGACTTCACTTTGATACCAAATTCTCATTATTTTCAATGGGAATTTTTATACATTGAGCCAAGTTTGTATAGCAAGAATTTGGGAAACACAGATGGCCTGAGATAAGCAGTACAAGTAGGTTTTTGAGACAATCACCAAGTGCAGTTTCATGGTGGGTGCCTCCAGGTGATGTGGACTGGAGCAGGGGAGTTTTGTCTGGAATCTGGGGACATGGGGTTTGGCTTTAGCAACCTGTCTTGGCCCTAATGAGAAACCCTTTGTAAGTGGGCTCTGGATTTTTGGTTTTGTTTTCTTTTTATCTGTTTTGTTTTATTTTTGGTTTTGGTTGAACAGAGGGACAGAAGAATAAGTAACACTCCCAAACACAGACATACTTTTGTAGAAGTGGACCAACTTCAAAGCTCTGGACAGGAGACACCTGCTCCAGGCCCCTGTGATCCCAGTTCTGTTCTCTTGCCCTCTGGACCTAAGCGTTCCCACTCGCAGAAAGAGTAAGGTGGACTGACTTTTCAATTTGTGCACATGCCTCTTGTTCAATGGCCTGGTCAACATCAACAACCCCTCCCTCTGATCATTTCCAGTTGATTGTCATATCCAGGAAAAAATGGAACAGTGCACTCTTCTCCCTGTTGACCCATGTCCACCTATTGGTTCCCCAAAATCCACATTCTCCCTGGGCCCAAATGACTTTGTCTCCCTGGGCCCAGATTCTTTGTCTCTCTTCAACCTTCATCTCAAATTGTCTCTAAGCACTACCTTCCCCAGAGCTTGCCAGGTTGGGTTTTGAGATTAGGGTCAGGTCATGGGTATGTGGAGAATGGTTTGGAGGTTGAGGACAACCACAGGTGTCTCATTGCTGCCATTTCTCCTGAGGACATAATCACTTGGTCACCTTGGACCCTGTCACTTCCTAAAATTACTCGTTCTGTCATGCCATAGAGGTCAGTTTTCCTCTTTCTTGGCTTCTACCCACAAACATTCACCAATCATTTATTCGTTCATTTAGCAAATATGCAGCCTCCGCAAGATGAGCTCTCCTGCAGACAAGCATGGTCTGAAACATTCTTTGAGCAATATTTATTGAGTGCCTACTATGTGTTAGGTACTGTGCCAGGCACTGATAAGCCAGTGGTAAGGGAAACACAGCTCTAACCTCACCTCATTCTCCAGGTTACAAAGGCCATGTGCCCCTTTGAATCTGGCAGAGAAAGTTTCCTCGTTGTAAGTATTTGCATCTACTTCAAGCCAGATTCTTCTGCCTCTTTCTCCTTTCCAGACCCCTACTCTGTGCAGTGCTGACCACAGCTAGAGCCACCGCCCCATTGCTCAACCAGTATTTATTTCCCTAAACGACCCTTCCTCACATTCCCTTCCCTCCACCTCTCCTTACCAAGCACCCAAAAGAGGATTTAGAACTAGCAGGGTGGACATCATCTGGTTGTTTCTACTTTTCTCTGCCTAGCACAAAATTGGGAGAAAACTGGAGCCTCCATCCGCAGTCACACGTGTACAGATCTGGGGATTTGGATGTAGGCTTTTTCTAACTTCTCTCTCAGAAGCTTCTACAGAAACCCTTCCATCTGTAGCCTCAAGGGCCCACCTCCAAGGGAAGGCTTAGGCAATGATCCTGTTTCTACCAACACTGCACCTTATCCCAGGAACCTGCCCTAGACCTCCAGAGACCATATTTTCTCTCCCTCCATTTCTACCCAGACCTCCAGGCCTCCTTCTGGAATCATAGAACCGTAGAATTGGAAGGAATTTTAGAGGTTTTCTAGTTGGAGTTGTGTCCAACAGAATTCATTAACACCAGCCTGGGCTTGTTTTTCCTCCTCCCTCTGGACTTTTTTCATCTTTTCCTCCACCTCAAAAAATACTTACACACAGATTCTTCTTGTACAGGCATCAAAACCAACTCCTCTGCCCCTAAGGCTGTGTCCCTGTGGTCTCCAGCCACCCCTACCCCAGTCACTCGCCCCTTCCTCATCTCTGGAATTTGGCCAGGCAGTCCCAGAAGACTCTGGAGTGACCTCCTTTGCCTAAAAAGCAGACAGATAGGCATGCCCCAGGCCCTGAGTGAGCAGAGGAGGACTGTAGGGTGAGAGGGAAAGAAAATGAAGGTGACTTTCATGGAAGTTTCATTTCTTTTCCCCGATTGTACCAACTGCATGTACTTTTGGCCTGGCTGCAAGGAGCAATATTGGTTTACTCTCGTATCCTTAAAAAGTTACAGAACTGTGTCTTAAGAGAATTATTTATAGTTACTATAACTGAATTGACAAATGTCAACTTAACTGATAAATTATATTTGGTAAAATAAAGAGGACGTTTATTTAGATGGTTGGTGTTTCCTGTATGTCTCATCAAAAAGCAGCTTCAACTGTTGTCTTGGGCCCCTCTGTAGGCCTTACCCTCTCCTCAATTAGGAGTAGAAAGGGGCCAAAGTGTGACAAGAAATGAAACATCTCGGCCGGCTGCGGTGACTCACGCCTGTAATCCCAGCACTTTGGGAGGCCGAGGCGGGCGGATCACAAGCTCAAGAGATGGAGACAATCCTGGTCAACATGATGAAACCCCGTCTCTACTAAAAATACAAAAATTAGTCAGGTGTGGTGGCGGGTGCCTGTAGTCCCAGCTACTCAGGAGGCTGAGGCAGGAGAACCACTTGAGCCCAGGAGGCAGAGGTTGCAGTGAACCAAGATTGCACCACTGCACTCCAGCCTGGCAACAGAACGAGACTCCATCTCAAAAAAAAAAAGGAAACATCTCTAAAATGCAGAGATTGTGTGATAGAAAATACAGCATCGCCAGACACAGCGGCTCATGCCTGTAATCCCAGCACTTTGGGAGGCTGAGAGGGGTGGATCACCTGAGGTCAGGAGTTCGAGACCATCTTGGCCAACATGGTGAAACCCCGTCTCTACAAAAATTAGCTGGGCGTGGTGGCGGGCGCCTGTAATCCCAGCTACTTGGGAGGCTGAGGCAAGAGGATCACTTGAACCCAGGAGGTGGAGGTTGCAGTGAGCTGACATCATGCCATTGCACTCCAGTCTGGGTGACAAGAGCAAAACTCTGCCTCAAAAAAAAAAAAAAAAGAAAAAACAACAGGCATTTATTGAGAAACTGGTGCACGGGGACACACTCAAGAAGCTAGATGCAGGGTCCTTGCTCTCGAGGAGGTTGTACTCTGGTCTCCATGTGTTAACTCAGCCTCTGTTGGGGGATTGTGCTATGGGTCCAAGCATTTATGGGTTAAGATTCCCTCCCTACCGAGGCTTACAATCTGGGTCAAAATAATGACGGCTCTTATTTGTTGAGTATTTCCTGTGTGTCTTCACCGTTCACCTTTAAGCCCTTAGAAACTTATAATAGACTGACTGCAAAGGGTTTGGAGTCAGATGGGCCTTGGTTCAAATCCCAGCTCTTCTGCCTGTATTTGTATAACCCTGGGCAAATCATTCACCCTTTCTGAGCTTCAGTTTCCTCATCAGTACTAATACTTATTTCATAGGATCATTATGAGACCTCAGTGAGATAATAAACAAAGCACTAAGCTCCGTGCCTGGTATATACTAAACCCAAAAATCCTAATCAATACTACAGTGTGGGAGGGACGAAGGCCAGTGACTAGGTCATGTCAGTACGCTGGCCATGGGATAAATTCAGGGTGGATAAGGGAGCGGGCCAATGAAAAGGGCACCTGATCAAGGCTTGGGAGTCAGGGACATCCTGGAGGAAGCTGAGAAGAATAGGAGTTAGCCTAGCAGAAAATAGGAGAAAGAGCCGTCCTGCAGAGGGAACCAGGAGCTGAGCAAGGAAGTAAGCCTGATGCTTTTGGGAACTGCAAATAGCTCTGTATGACTGGAGTTGGGAGCGCAGACGTTGATAGCACAACCTTATGAGACGCACGTATTTGTGACAAAGCAGTTTTTCTGAGATGGCAGATACAGAAAGGCAGAGTCAGAGCACAGCCCCACTGAGGTATCTCTGACTACAAAGCCTGTGTCGGGAACCACTGCCCACCCAGGACATGCCCCCATGGGATATGTCACAAAAGTATTGAGCAGATACTGGGTGCAGAACATTTGCCAGTCTCAAAAATCTGCCTTTTATCACAGCCTGTGCTCCAGTACTAACTCTTCAAAGCAATGTTTATAAGGCTAGTAAAGGTTAATGGAAAGAGGATAATTGCTTGTTAATTATTATTTATATAGTGTTTCACTATATAGTATACTATACATATACTTTTAAGTGATAGACTCATTTGTAACATCAATGTTTTCTCTAATAACGCTATGAGATAGATATTATTGCCATTTTGCAAGAGAAAAACTGAGGCTCAGAGAAAAGTTAAATGTCTTGCCCCAGGTCATATATTCACACCCAGGTTTCTTAGCCCAGTGCGTGCCTTCTATGCCTGGAGCCAGATGAAATGGCTGGCCATGGTGCCCCTTTATAAGGAATATAAAACATTGCTAAAACGATCAGAAAAATGGGTGCCTGTTATCTCAGTTTTGCTTATGAGACACTATACATGACTGCAAAACGTTAATTGTTTACTGAAATAGTATCTTCCAATGGACATTTAAAGTCATGGCTCCAAGGCGCCAGCCTATCTCTGATGGTATTTTTATAACATAATTACAGGCAGCACTACCAATTCAGAGGTCAGTCAGCTGACAGTCTCCTGAACTTAGTTGTCTCCTTTAGCTAAACTTCAGAAACCGAATAATGCATAGTATAATGCTGTTTACTGTACTGTATTTTTATTACATTATCTAAATATGAAATATTTTAATATGGCACCCATGAAAATGTCTGGCTTGAATGATTAGAAACAAAACAAAAAAAAAACTCTACAGCCAGGCATGGTGGTATGAGCTTATAGTCCCAGCTACCCAGGAGGCTGAGGCCGGAGGATCAGTTGAGCTCAGGAGTTCAAGTCTAGTCTGGGCAATTTGGTGAGACTCTCTTTTCAAAAACACAAAAATCTTAATAACTCAAGAAAGAAAAAGAAATTGCAGAAAAGTGAAGACAGCTTGGCCAACCAAAAAAGAATGTTTAAAAATAATTTCAAAGACTTTACAGTCATATTTATGTTTAGTTAAGTATGAATGACTAATATTATCTAGTCATTGGTGATTTTTTTAAGTTAAATGAAAAACACATCCAAATAAGTTTAAATGTTCTGTCCTGGCCAGGCGCGGTGGCTCACGCCTGTATTCCCAGCACTTTGGGAGGCCGAGGCGGGCGGATCACGAGGTCAGGAGATCAAGACCATCCTGGTTAACACACTGAAACCCCGTCTCCACTAAAAATAAAAAATAAAAAAATTAGCCGGGTGTGGTGGTGGGTTCCTGTAGTCCCAGCTACTCGGGAGGCTGAGGCAGGAGAATGGCGTGAACCCGGGAGGCAGAGCTTGCAGCAAACCGAGATCGTGCCACTGCACTCCAGCCTGGGTGACAGAGAGAGACTCCATCTCAAAAAAAAAAAAAAAAAGTTATGTCCTATTCAGTCATATTTATGTGATATACAGTCCTTGTTTTGAACATAAATATTTTGTATTATATTCAAATGTTAAGTGAAAAAAATGTTGAACAATTGTATAGAGAACATTGCATTAGAAGAGCCCCAAATTGCGGCCTTCTTGGGACACCCACATGTTTATCTGTCTTTTACTCGGCCACAGGCTGTCATGCGCATAACTTTCAATCATATTACCTAAATTGTTAACTACTTCACAAATTACTCAGAAATAAAGTATGTGGTTTTTAGGAATTCGAAGTCCATGGAAAGGGAGACTAAAGCTTTAAGAGGTTAACTTTAAGACCTGCCCCAGGTGTCAAAGACGGAATATTAACTACAGTCTCCTGATTGGCAGGCCACACACCAAACCACCCTTCGACACAGGCTCAAGAAGGTAGCGGGGAAAGATGTCACCATGGCCGGAAGTGCTCTTAGGGGACCCACGTCCAAGCCAAGAACAAGGCCACTGATCTCTCGCCCTCATAACTCCCATCCTGTGGAGCCAGAATAGTCCATCATGTGCCCACTCATGCTTCTGCTCATGCTTCTACATTCTATATCTCTCGCTTAGCTTAACATCTAGGTTATCTTTTTTCTGTATCAGGGTCACAGCTGGCTGCCAGAATCCTCTGAGATGACCCAGGGCTTACCTAGAATTTCTCCTGCTTCTCCAACCAGACACAACTGCCAGGCTGCCTTCGCCAATCAGGGCAGATTCTTTTTTTTTTTTTTTTTTTTACTTCAGTAAGTAGGGGTCCTGTTTTCCACCTTTGGAATGAGGAAACTCAGAAAACATGCTAAGGATGCTGTACTCTTCTGGGAAACCTCCCTCATCCCCACACCCAGCTTAATTTTTAAAAATAGTTGTAATTAGAGGTAGACAGACATAGTAATAGATTTGGATCCCAGCTCTCTCAGCTCGTGGCCATAATTAGCCTCTTTTGGTCCCCAAAATGGAACAATAATGCCCTCTCTGTGGGGTTGTTAGGCACACAGAAGATTCGACAAATAGAAGCTTTTATGATGATGATGATAAAATGTGGGTTGAATTAGTGGTGGTAATAATATGAAGGAACTGGGGAATGAAGAAGTGGATAGCCCTGGAGCGATGCTGGGTTTTTTTGTGAGGTTTTTTTTGTTTCGTTTTTGGTTTTTGTTTTTTGTTTTTTTTTGAGATGGAGTCTTGCTCTGTCGCCCAGGCTGGAGTGCAATAGTGCGATTTCGACTTACTGCAACCTCCACCTCCCAAGTTCAAGCGATTCTCCTGCCTCAGCCTCCTGAGTAGCTGGGATTACAGGCATTCGCCACCACACCTGGCTAATTTTTTTGTATTTTTAGTAGAGACGGGGTTTCTCCACGTTGGTCAGGCTGGTCTCGAACTCCCGACCTCAGGTGATCCGCCCGCCTCGGCCTCTCAAAGTGTTGGGATTACAGGCGTGAGCCACCAAGCCCAGCCGATGCTGGGTTTTATCCATCTGTGACATGGGTGCAGCTGAAGCTGGACAACGCTGAGCAGTGAGGAGGACCAGCCTGTTTCACAGCTAGGCTTCCACTGGGCGAAGGCTATGACATGGCTAAGCTAAGCCAACTATGACCCTGAGTCCAGCTGCATCCTCAGAGGCTCAGAAACCTAGTCCCATTCAGATGTCATCCCACTCAAGGAGGCTGCCAGACCCACACACCCCCAGAGGCCTGTGCATAAGACCAGATGCCAGCTGGTCAGTGGACTGGACGGACACGTCAGCCTGACCAGCACATTCACTCCTGGAAGCAAGCCACAAGGGAAGGCAGATGATCAGAAAGTACCTGGAAAGTCAGGAATCCTAATAGAGAAGTTAGTTTTAAAACGCAAAAGTCCAGCAGGCGCCAGGCCTTGTTATATTTGGCTGCATGAGTCTGCACAATAGGGATACCTGACAGAGGGCCAGATATTCTTGTAAGACTCTGGTCCCTCTGCCAGACAGAGCCCAAAGAAGTGAAGCCAGAATTCTTTCAGAGTCTCCTTTCTTTGCCTCTGAGACCTTTCTTTGGATCAGTGCATTCCTTCTTTAGGTGTGTTTATACCTTGGGTCAATGTCACCTCCTGCCTGGGCACCTCTCATTACATGTGGATTTCACAGTTTATCTTTGAGAGGGGTAGGAGGACAATGCTACTTCCAAGTTCTTGGCAAGGAGGGGCAGGTTATCAGTGGATAACTAAGGATGGCCTATGGGTGCAATAATTTCTGCTTTTCTCACCTCCTAGAGAGTTGAAATAACATAGGAAATTAGAACAGTCATGTCTGTGTTGGAAGGGAACTTTATTTTGTTTCACAGATGAGACTTTCCTGTGCCATATGGACAGTTGGGAACCACACAACCAGTTCTTTGAAGCAAAATTTTCTCTTTAGTTTTCACTTTTTTCCTGTCTTCTTTCCCTGGCCTTTATTTGGGGTGGAAGGAGGGTAGCCACAGAAGGAGGCAAATGTGACAACCAAGGCAGTGAAAACTATAGTTTGATGTTTTCCCTAGATACTCCCAGGCCCAAATCTGGCCTAGACCCTTGGCACGGGCCAGCAGAGGAATGACTGGCAGGCTGCCCTTTGAACTTGCCAGCCTCTCTGTCCTGAGGGTTTCCTTGGGCACCTTGCTGCGAAGTCTTCCAGCTGAATGCTTAGCTGGGTCACAGGCATTTCACCAAGCTGCCTGCCCCTCCCCAAAGCAACAGCCAAAAAGTTATGATCATCGAAGTGAGTCTGGGGGTTGGGGCTGAGGAACAGCTGTAGCCTCTTGACCTCACCCTTCTCTGGGTCTGTCCCTCTCCTCTGTGCTGCTGCTGGGCCATTTGCTATGTCACTTCAGTCTTCCCTTCATGTTACAAAGCATTTTTCCACTCTGCTCCTAGGACAATGTTGGAGGCTCTGGAGATTATATAAGCTGTCTCTCTCCTATTTGAAGTCAAGCTCCCAAGTCCTTAGGAGATTGCCTGGCACCAGATCATTTCTTCAACAAGTGTTCATTGAATTCATAGTGTAGGCATCACTAATAGCTACCTGACATCAGCAACATACTAAGATGCACACCACATCCTCTGTGTGGGGCTCTTGCCCAAAATGTTTCTTAAATCAAATCTTGAGGCAATAAACAGACAATCCAGGATATGCGACTTCCTGTAAGACAACTGGCATGGACTCTAAAAAGAAAGTCAAAAAAAAAAGGGCAAGGGATTGTTATAGACAGTACTGTCCAACAGACCTTTCTGTGATGATGAAACTAGTTTATGTCTGTGCTGTTCAATATAGTAACTGCTAGCCAAATATGGCTGCTAAGCACTTGAAGTGTGGCTAGGCAACAGATGAGCTGGTCTTTACATTTATTTATTTTAATTAATTACTTTAAAAAATTTGTTTAGAGATGGGATCTCGCTATGTTGCCCAGGCTGGTCTCGAACTCCTGACCTCAAGCCATCCTCCTGCCTCAGCCTCCCTGAGTAGCTGAGATTGCAGGCAGGAGCCACCAAGCCCAGCTGATTTTATATAATTTAAATGTAAATAACCACACATGGCTACTGGCTCCTGTATTGGACACAGCATGCTCCTAAGATTGAAAGAGACTAAAGAAATAGAATAACCAAATTCCATGCATGAAACTTCATTGTATTCTGGATGACAGGTGAGGAGAAAATGAGAAAAAAATATTGGGGAGCTATAGAGAGATGTAAATGTAAACTGTTTGTTAGATGATATTATTGGATTAAGGTTAATTTTCATAGATGTGACAATGGTATTTTGGGCTGGGCGAGGTGGCTCACTCCTGTAATCCCAGCACTTTGGGAGGCCGAGGCAGGCAAATCACTTGAGGCCAGGAATTCGAGACCAGCCTGGCCAACATGGCAAACCCCATCTCTATTAAAAATAGCTCGGTGTGGTAGCGTGCACCTGTAGTCCCAGCTGCTTGGGAGACTGAGGCAGAAGAATTACTTAAACTCAGAAGGCAGAGGTTGCAGTGAGCCAAGATGGTGCCACTGCACTCCAGCCTGGATGTCAGAATGAGACTCTGTCTTAAAAAAAAAAAAAAAAAAAGATAATGGTATTTTGGCTTTGTAGGATAATTTTATTATTAGGAGCTGCATGTTGAAGTATTTAAGCTTGAAGTGTCTGCTACTTACTTTCAAACAGTTCAACACACACACAAAGAGACAAAGCAGATATGGCAAAATGTTAGTAATTGGTAAATCCCGATGAAGGACATATTAGTATGCATTGTACTGTTAACTTTTCTATGGGTTTGAAATTTTTCAAAATAAAAAGTGGAAAGTAAAAAGTAGAAAAGAGAAAGGCAGACACATACAGGAAGTGTGGTAGTTACAGAGCAAGGCTGACCCCTTTCCCCAGCTTCCAAACTATATTTCCAAACATATACCAGTTGACCCTTGAACAACACGGGTTGGAACTGCACAGATGCGCTTACACAGGGCTTTTCTTCCTCTTCTGCCACCCCTGAGACAGCAAGACCAAACCCTCCCCTTTCTTCCCCTCCTCCTTGGTCTATTCAACATGAAAACACCAAGAATGAAGACCTTTATGATGAACCACTTCCACTTAATGAATAGTAAATATATTTTCTCTTCCTCATGATTTTCTTAATACATTTTATTTTCTCTAACTTACTTTATTGTAAGAATATAGTATATGATACATATAACACACAAAATATGTGTTAATTGGCTGTTTATGTTATTGGTAAGACTCCCAATCAACAGTAGGCTATTAGTAGTTAATTCTCGGGGAGTCAAAAGTGACACACAAATTTTCGACTGGAGGGTAGGTAGGCATTCCTAACCCCTGAGTGGTTCAAGGGCCACTATATGTGCAAATCAATTGTTTGGCACCTTGAATGTGTGTTCTCTTTCTCTTATTTATATCCGTCTCTCTTAAAAACTGAGATCAGAAATGCAATTTAGTGTTGAAGAAATACACCTTTCAGCCAGGCGCAGTGGCTCATTCCTGTAATCCCAGCACTTTGGGAGGCTGAGGCAGGGGGATCACTTGAGGTCAGGAGTTCAAGACCAGCCTGGCCCACATAGTGAAACCCCATCTCTACTAAAAGTACAAAAAAATTAGCTGGGCGTGGTGGCAGCTGCCTGTAATCCAAGCTACTCGGGAGGCTGAGGCAGGAGAATCGCTTAAACCCAGGAGATGGAGGTTGCAGTGAGCCGAGATTGTGCCACTGCACTCCAGCCTGGGCAGCAAAGCGAGACTGTGTCTCAAAAAAAGAAAGAGAGAAAGAGAGAAAGAAAGAAAGAAAAAGAAAGAGAGAGAGAGAGAGAAAGAAAGAGAAGAAAGAAAGAAAAGAAGGAAAAGAAAAGAGAAAAGAAACGAAAAGAAAAAAGAAAAAAAAAGAGAAGAGAGAAAGAAAAACACTTCTCATCCCCATCAAAGAAATGATTACTACTTTGAGAACTGTGTCTTTCAGGGAGTACCAGAAATTTGCTAATCTTCCCTCTTAAATCTTAACTCCCGACCTTTCCGATTTTGGAAGCTAAGAGTAGTTCCTTTCACAGATGATCAGGAGCAAAGTCAAAATTTTGAAGGAAAAATTTACTTCTTCCTGTTTTCTTCGAGACACGCTGGTTGCTTATATAAGTTAAATAGTTACAAATTGGTCACATAGTTAAGTGACCAAAGTGCAAATAGAATATAAATGCTACAGGCCAGGTACAGTGGCTCACACTTATAATCCCAGCACTTTGGGAGGCCAAGGCAGGCAGATGACAAGATCAGGAGTTCGAGACCAGCCTGGCCAATACGGTGAAACCTTGTCTCTACTAAAAATACAGAACTTAGCAAGGCATAGTGGCACGTGCCTGTAATCTCAGCTACTTGGGAGGTTGAGGCAGGAGAATCACTTGAACCCGGGAGGCGGAGGTTGCAGTGAACCAAGATAGCACCATTGCACTCCAGCCTGGGTGACCAGAGAGCGACTCCCTCTCAAAAACAAAAAAAAGGATAGGCCGGGCGTGGTGGCTCACGCCTGTAATCCCAGCACTTTGGGAGGCCGAGGCGGGTGGATCACAAGGTCAGGAGATCAAGACCATCCTGGCTAACACAGTGAAACCCTGTCTCTACTAAAAAATACAAAAAAAAAAAATTAGCCGGGCGTGGTGGCGGGCGCCTGTAGTCCCAGCTACTCGGGAGGCTGAGGCAGGAGAATGGCGTGAACCCGGGAGGCGGAGCTTGCAGTGAGCCCAGATCGCACCACTGCACTCCAGCCTGGGTGACAGAGCGAGACTCTGTCTCAAAAAAAAAAAAAAAATTAAAAAATTAAAATAAAAAAATAAATGCTACAGGTGACCAATAAAGGCTGCAATAATAAGGGAAATGTTTATAAATAAGTAGATATTTAAGTCAGGCCTTGAAGCACCATTTCTCAAAAGTACTATTTCTCAAAGTGGAATGTGGTGTAGCAATCACATGAGTACTTGTCAAAAATGCAGATTAACCTGGGTCACCCCCTAGCCCTACAGAATCAAAATGTGGGTATTTAACAAGTACCCCAGGTAGGTGATGCTTATGCACACTAAAATTTTAGAACCTTCGGTGACCTTTAAGACAATCCACTCCCACTTAGTGAATAATATAGTTTCTCTTCCTTTTGATTTTCTTAATAATATTTAAGTAAGATTTAGATGTGTAGAAAGAAACCTGAAGAGTATTCTGAAAGGTGATGCATCCTGGACAAAAACAGAAAATCAAAAATGACATTGGGCTTTAAAAGAGCATAAGGAACCTCACCTTGTTGGAAGAAGGAAACTCCCATTTGAAGTCGGGTGAGATAAAATTGGTTAGGTAGGCCGGGGCAGGTGCATAGAAAGCTTTGGACACCAGCTTCAGGGAGGTTGGCCTTTTTTTTTGAAAGACAGTTGGTAGACAAGGAAGAACAAACAATGGTGTTTTAGGAAAACCATCCTGTCCAGTTGTAGACGGTGAGTTAAAAAGAAAATAAATTCAGGGAGACCAATAAACAGGTTACTGCAGGAATCCAGGTGTGAGATGGTGAAAGCCTGAACTAGGAAAGTGTTACTTGCTGATTACCTGGGTGACAAAATTATCTGTAAGCCAAACTCGCGCAACATGCAGTTTACTCGTGTAACAAACCTGCACATGTACCCCTTGAACCTAAAATAAAAGTTGGAGAAAAAAAAAAAAGGAAAGTATTACTGAATATGAAGCAGAGAGGATGAGTGGGAGAAACCATTTACTGAAGAAACAATCAATCAGACATGGTAACTGAATTTTTTTTAAAAGGGTATAGACCAGGTGCGGCGGCTCACGCCTGTAATCCCAGCACTTTGGGAGGCTGAGGCGGGTAGATCACTTGAGGTCAGGAGTTCAAGACCAGCCTGGCCAACATGGTAAAACCCTGTCTCTACAAAAAAAATACAAAAATTAGCCAGGCTTGGTGGTATGCGCCTGTAGTCCCAGCTACGCAGGAGGCTGAGGCACAAGAGTTACTTGAGCCCAGGAAGCAGAGGATGCACTGAGCCAAGATCATGCCAATGCACTCCAGCCTGGACAACAGAGTGAGACTCCATCTCAATAAACAAACAAACAAATAAATAGGTATAAAGGGACATGTGTAAAGGAAATAATAATGCTCAGAATCTGAAGTCTACATGGAGGCAAGAAATGATGAGACCAGTGACAGAAATAGGGAAGCTGAGAAAAGGAGCTATTTTTATGGCAATGTAGTAAGAGGAAGGATGTGGCAGGACATCCAAGTGGGGGCACCTTTTGGGCAGCTGAATATCACTGATCAGAGATAAAGAACAAATAAAGTGTTAATGGTAGCTATGATAGCGGTTATCACCAGTGCCGTGAGTATTCCTTCATTAAGGGCTGACACAGAGAACAATTATACTTATTGGGTATATTTATCAATCTTGGCTGGCAATAATGCCTGGATGCAATCACTTTATGACGCAGTTACACATGCTTTCTGATCTCAGTATTTACCATAATAAATCTGCTCCTATAATTGAGGCATACCGCCCTCAAAAACTTATTTGTAAACAGGATTGGACCCAGTTAGAAAAAATGAACGTACTTGTTTAGGAAGATTGCATTGCAGAACAGGCAGAGATGCTGCACAATGATTCCTATGGAATCATTATTAATTGGTCCCCTAAGGGGATGTTTAGCTTGAATTGCACCTCTCAGTCTGCGTGCCACGGCCACACTATGTTCAGCTGGTCTGAACAAAATGGTCAGATGGTAGATATAATAAGAAGTACAGCAAGAGTTCCTATTATCTGGAACCATGGCAGTATAGTGACACCTCAACCTCAAATGATATGGCCCGCTCTAGGAGCTTAACATAAGGATTTAAAATTAAAAGAAGAAATATTTAAAGCATCCGAGGCACACTTGACCTTAATGCCAGGAACTGGAGTGCTTAAAGGAGCCGAAAATGGATAAAAACACTTGGAAGCTCTGTGATTTCAATGATGATTGTGCTTTTAATCTGTGTTGTTTGTCTTTGTATAGTCTGCAGATGTGTATCCTGACTCCTGCGAGAAGTAGCTCACCGTGACAAAGCTGCCTTTGCATTTATCAATTTGCAAATCAGAGAAGAGGGACATGTTGAGAGCAGGCCCCCCAAAATCTGGCCATAAACTGGCCCCAAAACTGGCCATAAACAAAATCTCTGCAGCACTGTAACATGTTCATAATGGCCCTAACGTCCACGCTGGAAGGTTGTAAGTTTACAGGAACGAGGGCAAGGAACACCTGGCCCGCCCAGGGTGGAAAACCGCTTAAAGGCATTCTTAAGCCACAAACAATAGCATGAGTGATCTGTGCCTTAAGGACATGCTCCTGCTGCAGTTAACTAGCCCAACCTATTCCTTTAATTCGGCCCATCCCTTCGTTTCCCATAAGGGATACTTTTAGTTAATTTAATATCTATAGAAACAATGCTAATGACTGGTTTGCTGTTAATAAATACGTGGGTAAATCTCTGTTCGGGGCTCTCAGCTCTAAAAGCTCTAAAGGAAATCAGACCCCTGATTTCCCACTTCACACCTCTATATTTCTGTGTGTGTGTCTTTAATTCCTCTAGCGCCACTGGGTTAGGGTCTCCCCAACAGAGCTGGTCTTGACAGAATATCACTGATCAGAGATAAAGAACAAATAAAGTGAAGATAGATCTTTGACACCAAGGACAATTCACTAAAGAGTTTATCGAATGATTGACTCAGAGACCAAGAATCAGGCCTTAGGAAATACTTAGCGGGAAATGGGATGGAGAGAAACCTGAAAGAAAAAGATAATCATCAGAGAAGTACGGGGATGACAAAGAAAGAACAGCGTCATAGAAGGCATAAGGGAAACAAATGTCAAGGAGTGGTCAACTATGTCAAAACGAATAAGAACAGAGAAAACTGGATCCTTAAAGATGAGTAGCTTGAACTAACCTCCTGTACCTGGGTAACGAACATTCTGGGCAAAATATATTGTGAACCATGCTGATGTTCTTTCGCCACAAAACATAAGTGATAGCCTCTCTATCAAGAGACCTAGATTTCCTAGTGTCTGGTCCTGGGCTGTTTTCCCATGGCCCCGCTGGTTCTCTTCCTCTATTCCTAGAAAAGTATAGAAAATGGAGCTCTCTTTGCTTGCCATTGAGCTCATGTCCTGCCAACTTCTACCCAAGTGACAGGTAGGTCAGTAAAGTTACAGGCTGAGAAATTAAAATTATTTGCCAAACACTAGTTTTATGATTATCTATTAACAACAGCCACAACAAATCAAGAAGGAGTCCCAGTGTATTTCAATTAGCTTCTAGCTCAAGTGATACATGAGTAGTATGGCTAGAATAGGCATTGTAGAAGTATGAATGGAGAACTGTCTCTTGTTTTCTGTCCATCTTTATTGTTATTGCTGGATATTAAATGCTGTAATTTTTGGCATAGGTTTTTTTCCAAAGACTGGTCTCTTGGGTCAAGTTTTCCTGAACTTGCCTGGTATTGGGCAAGTTCACACAGAAAATATGAGTCATTTCACAAAGTCCTGGGCTTGTCTATCTACTTGAAGGAATAGGAAATGGACTTCACTTGGAGCATGATGGATGAGGCTTGGGCTTTTACTAATGAAATAAGTTTCAATCTTAACTCAGTTAAACCTTTAAAGACAGGAGAAAACTATCTGGGGATGGATTCAGGCCAGTGAGATCACGTTGCACAAATCTCCCCTTAAGGGATCTTTACTGACCTAGAATTGTTTCAAAATAAGATTCCAAACTGTCGAGGGAGTTTGAAGCCTTGAAACTTGGTGTAGGTTTGCTTAAAACAAAATAACGAATATACTACATTTCCCAGGAGGCTTCGCGGTGAGCCTCCGCACTCGGCTGGTTCTCTTTACCGCGAGGAAAGCTGGGAAATGTAGTGCCACAGGCAACCCTGCACGTGACGCTTGCGGAGGAAGGGGAGAGAGAGGCGCGCGGGAGGGCGTCTAGGGAATCGAGGTGCCGGCTGCTCCTTCCTCACAATTTGGTTTGTGCTGCAAGGGGAGGGTCCCCATCATCTGGCCCCAGTGGTGTAAGGAGCTGACTGGGATTCAGTCACTGACTTGGAGCCGCTCGGGGGAAGTCCCGGTGGGTGAGGTTCCGCGGCGCCTGGTCCAGTTTCTCGGCAGTCAGGCCAGGAGGGGGTGGGGAAGGTGCGAACAGCCGGGGGCTCGGAGCTCGCGCCCTGCGCCCCACCCAGGTTGCGGCCGCCCGGGGAGGAAGCGCGTATAGGTTGAGTGCAAAGTTTCCTTTTTTGCTTTCTCGTCAGAGCAGCCCAGACAGGCGGTGGGTGGGAATGCCTCACTTCAGTTTGAAGAGGGTCCGGATCCAAAGGGGTTAAAACGAGCGACCCCCGATCCCCGACCACACTTCCCGCCTCCCTAAAACGCACACCCCGCTAGCCATGGGCAGCCGCGACCACCTGTTCAAAGTGCTGGTGGTGGGGGACGCCGCAGTGGGCAAGACGTCGCTGGTGCAGCGATATTCCCAGGACAGCTTCAGCAAACACTACAAGTCCACGGTGGGAGGTGAGACGTCTCGGGGGTGGGGAGGGGGAGGGGGAGGAGGAGGCCCCGACCGCGGACTCGAGCTGGGGACCCAAGTGGGGTGGGGATTTGCTGTCGGTTGTTGGGTCCTTCTTCGGGTCAGGAAGTACTGTCTGGGAACCTAGATGGTGTAATTGCCGGGTGTTTGGTTTACACGCCTCTCTTGAGTTTCCCGTTAGATTTTCCCAAACTGAGCCCACTGCCAGGAGAAAGGTAAGAGCAAAGGCGTGAAGATGAGAAATAGGGAAGGGAGGATGAGGATGAGCAATTGCTGTTTATTGCAGGCGTACTGTGAACTTAAGTCTCCAGCCTTTCAGCTGTCCGGCAAATCTCTCCAATCAGCAGAAGCAGCTGAGATCCTCTGTGGGGCCTCCTGGTTAGGTGCCGGCTGGGGCTGTAGTCCTGCCCCTCTGTTGAGGGAGGAACCGCAAGGTGTTTAACCTGGCTTCAGTGGGAGAACGCAGGAAGCGGAACTGGTCTGAAGGACTGTAGCTTTGTTGTGGGGCTGTGGGTGGGATGGAAGACACAAAATCCCCGAACGAGCCCCTTGGCTACGCAGTCAGATGCCCATGAGGGCTGATGAGCTGTGTTTTTGTCCGTTGATTGCTTAAATAAAGGTAACCAAGGAATTCTTCCAAGAATGTGAAATATACCACTTCTCTGACCTATCTTCCCACCACTTTTTTCCTCAAACTGGAGAAGGTAGGGAGGAAGGGGACACCGAGTTCATTCATTTCTTTCCCGGGTGTGGCCTTTGGACTCAACTATTTTTTCAGAGGCAGAAATGCCTTATTGTTAATTAGAAGGTATTTAGCTAGGAAGAGCTGGTGATGGGGGAGAGTAACTTAAAATTTTATTTCTCTCTGTTAAAAGAACTTGTTTCAAGGGGGGAAAACTCGTACCAATGGAAAAATTGAAAATGTGTGCTCCTGTTCATATGGAAGTTTAAAAAGAAATTAACAAACATTTACATTGCAATTAAAACATTCTCCTTAAGAACCCCCAGTAGGGCCCAGTACCGTGGTTCATACTTGCAATCCCAGCACTTTAGGAGGCTGAGGCGGGAGGATTGCTTGAGCCCAGGAGTTCGAGACCAGCCATGGGAAACATGGCAAGACCCCCACCTCTACAAAAATTAAAGAAGAAAGTAGCCGTGGTCCCAGCTACTCGGGAAACTGAGACGAGAGGATTGCTTGAACTGGGGAGGTCGAGGCTTCAGTGAGCCCCGTTCGCACCACTCACTGCACTGTAGCCTGGGCAACAGAGTGAGACCCTGTCTCAAAAACAAAGGAACAAAAAATTTAAGTCTGGCAAAATTAAAGGTTCAAAGTTTCAGACACTCTATCCTGACCGCTCTGCCCTCCCACTCCTAAATAATATAAGGGTCCCTATTTCACGGATTTGGGTTAAAAGTGGCCTGCTATTAATAGTTAATTTTTAACAATTGCTGTAGTTTTCCTTTAGCAAAGAATATAATTGGCTAATTTTTTTTTCAGTGTTTAGTCTAAATTTCCCTTAGCTTTGATTCCTGTCACAGATGTGAAAGATAATATTTCCAAACCTCAGAAATTACTCTGTTTCTCTCCTTAGCCAAAAGGCTTTCCCCATGGAATACTTACTCAGCCTTAAGGAGTCTCAGCACCTGCAGACTTGGTGGTAGATTCCAGCAGGACTCTTCAGCAACATCCACACAGTGTCTTCTTCTTGGGACTCCTCTGGGACCTTTTCCATTTATTCCATTCTTGCCCAAGATAATACCTGCAACCTTATGGTGGATGTAGAGTTCCCCAGGGTGTGTTCTTTTCATAATACAATTTGATTAGAAACCAACAGTGAAATTGAATGTGGAAGATACGAAAGCAACCACACTTGTCTCATTTCCCCCTTCTCCCCCATCACCCCTTCCCTGAGAAAACCCCCTAAATCTCCCAGAAACTATTTAACCTGAGAATGAGAATTGTTTTCATAGTTACTCCCACCCCCAGTCTTGGAGACAAACAGTAGCAAATAAATGAGCTTGACAGTAGAGTAAAAGCTGGAAACCCCTTTGGAGAGTGAGTATGAATCATCCATCTCACACTAAATACACGCATGTGGACTCATCTCAGTGAATTGAGGGCTTAAAGTTAAACATATGGGATTGGAGTTGTGTGTCCATAGGGTTTCACTGCCTATTTGATTTGAGTTTATCCCTATTAATTTTTTACAGTGAAATTTTATTAAAGTATAATGTACATATATTTTCAGTGGATTTTGCTCTGAAGGTTCTCCAGTGGTCTGACTACGAGATAGTGCGGCTTCAGCTGTGGGATATTGCAGGTAAAGTGGGAGGGCTAGATAGGAACAAGGGAAGAAATTTTGATTTAACTAGAAAGCTCTGAGGAAAAAATGGGGCAGCAAAGCCAGAAATTGTTTTTCTGAAGCTGGAATGATTGAGCTGCTCTGAGGACACATGAGCTGAATAGGTGCAGAGCTTTTGTAGATGTTTTGCCCTGAATAGATCTGGAGCAGTCTCTATGTGGATGGAGGGGCTGGCAAGGTGGTGGATTGTCCAGACTATAGGTGGACACTCCCACAGCAGGGGAGGGTGCTTTTTCTAGGTTTAAGGCTGACCTTGGTGAAAAACAAGATCCCCAGAAAATAGATACAGTAAAAATAGTGAATCCTTACTATGTGCCAAGCATTCTTCTAAGTATTTTAAATTCACTGACTCATTAATCCTCACATCAACCCTATCATAAAAGCTACTGCTTTTGGAGAATTGCTTGAACCTGGGAGGTGGAGGTTGCAGTGAGCCTAGATGGCACCACTGCACTCCAGCCTGGGCAACAGGAGTGCAGGAAACTGTTTCAAAAAAAAAAAAAAAAAGCGACTGCTTTTATCTTCACTTTACAAATGAGAAATCTGAAGCACTGAGAGCTTGATTTGCCCGAAGTCAAATAGTATGCAGCAGAGCAGGGATTTGGACTGGAGCAATCTGGGTGCGGAATCTGCCTTGGAAATAATTGGGCTTCATTATCCCTTTATGGGATAGAAAACCAAGAGTCAGAGGGGGAAAGTGAGTGGCCCCATCTGACACATATGCTTACTGCCCTCTTCTACAAGGAATGGGGAGAGGCCGGCTCTTGGGTCACCTTGAGAACTCTCCCCTTTCTCCCCAGGGCAGGAGCGCTTCACCTCTATGACACGATTGTATTATCGGGATGCCTCTGCCTGTGTTATTATGTTTGACGTTACCAATGCCACTACCTTCAGCAACAGCCAGAGGTGGAAACAGGACCTAGACAGCAAGCTCACACTACCCAATGGAGAGCCGGTGCCCTGCCTGCTCTTGGCCAACAAGGTATGTGGCCAATCTCAGAAAATGGTCCCTAGCCTCTATCTGTGGTTAGAAAGGAAGTAAAATGCTCTCTGATTCTGGGCATCCATTTCCCCTTCTTAAGTTGGCAAAATCATCTCTACCTCCTTCAAAGGATGTTGAGGGTGAGTGAGACTTTCTTTCTTTTTTTTTTTTTTGAGACGGAGTCTCGCTCTGTTGCTCAGGCTGGAGTGCAGTGGCGCGATCTCGGCTCACTGCCAGCTCTGCCTCCCAGGTTCACGCCATTCTCTTGCCTCAGCCTCCCGAGTAGCTGGGACTACAGGTGCCCACCACCACACCCAGCTAATTTTTTTGTATTTTTAGTAGAGACTGGGTTTCATTGTGTTAGCCAGGATGGTCTCGCTCTCCTGACCTCATGATCTGCCCGCCTCAGCCTCCCAAAGTGCTGGGATTACAGGCGTGAGCCACTGCGCCCAGCCAAGGGTGAGACTTTCTTTGGGAAGAATGTTGATTATAGATTTCCGATGCTGGTGTTCTTATCCATTGGTGGAAATATGTTTAAAATCCACAGTATCTGAGCCATATTCTTTCTTAGTTGCAGGAAGTTTATGATACTGCCTTTTATTTTTTCTCTTTGCTAGTGTGATCTGTCCCCTTGGGCAGTGAGCCGGGACCAGATTGACCGGTTCAGTAAAGAGAACGGTTTCACAGGTTGGACAGAAACATCAGTCAAGGAGAACAAAAATATTAATGAGGCTATGAGGTAAGTAGCTCATGCTGATAGGCATGCAGATGTATCCATCTTCCACTGTGGCCCTGTGGACCCTCTTTTCTTATTTCTGAGCCAACAATGACAGACTGAGCCATTGGAATGCTAGCCCCTAAAGGTCAGGGATACTGTCTTTCCTGAGATAACTGGGGACAAAGGGGCATTTAAACCTTCTGGCTTTACCAAATACTCTCTGATGATAAGTCAGACTACATCTGCCATTTCTGCTTTTCCTCCAAAATAAGCTTCTCAGGCTTATTTTTTGTCTTTTAGAGTCCTCATTGAAAAGATGATGAGAAATTCCACAGAAGATATCATGTCTTTGTCCACCCAAGGGGACTACATCAATCTACAAACCAAGTCCTCCAGCTGGTCCTGCTGCTAGTAGTGTTTGGCTTATTTTCCATCCCAGTTCTGGGAGGTCTTTTAAGTCTCTTCCCTTTGGTTGCCCACCTGACAATTTTATTAAGTACATTTGAATTGTCTCCTGACTACTGTCCAGTAAGGAGGCCCATTGTCACTTAGAAAAGACACCTGGAACCCATGTGCATTTCTGCATCTCCTGGATTAGCCTTTCACATGTTGCTGGCTCACATTAGTGCCAGTTAGTGCCTTCGGTGTAAGATCTTCTCATCAGCCCTCAATTTGTGATCCGGAATTTTATGAGAAGGATTAGAAATCAGCACCTGCGTTTTAGAGATCATAATTCTCACCTACTTCTGAGCTTATTTTTCCATTTGATATTCATTGATATCATGACTTCCAATTGAGAGGAAAATGAGATCAAATGTCATTTCCCAAATTTCTTGTAGGCCGTTGTTTCAGATTCTTTCTGTCTTGGAATGTAAACATCTGATTCTGGAATGCAGAAGGAGGGGGTCTGGGCATCTGTGGATTTTTGGCTACTAGAAGTGTCCCAGAAGTCACTGTATTTTTGAAACTTCTAACGTCATAATTAAGTTTCTCTTGTCTTGGCATCAAGAATAGTCAAGTTTTTTGGCCGGGCATGGTGGCTCATGCCTGTAATCCCAGCACTTGGGGAGGCCAAGGCAGGCGGATCACATGAGGCCAGGAATTCGAGACCAACCTGGTCAGCATGGCAAAACCCCGTCTCTACTAAAAGTACAAAAATTAGCCAGGCGTGATGGCACGTGTCTGTAATCCCAGCTACTCTGGAGACTGAGGTGGGAGAATCGCTTGAGACTGGGAGGCAGAGGTTGCAGTGAACCGAGATCATGCCACCGCACTTCAGCCTGGGTGACAGAGAAGGACTCCGTCTCAAAAAAAAAAGAAAAAAGAATAGTCATTTTTAAACTACCTATCTCATGCAATGAAAGCATTTTCTTCCACAAAGAGCTTAATCCTCATGATAGGATTGCCTAGTGTCTCCCATTTGCAGGTTTCTGGGTTGATGTCTTAATGCATAATACTGCAAGTGACATCAGCTGGCTGTGATGCTTCGAAATAGGTCTGCTCCTCACAGCTTTGGGAATCTGAATGGAAGAAGAAAAGAGAGAAGTTAACAACCTCCACTGGGGCAACTTTGTGAACACGTAGGCACTTAGTCATAGGAAACATATTATGTGCAGGTCCTAGCCTGGGGGAGGAAAGTAGATAGACAGAAAATCATTAGGTAATTTAAGTACTAAATTGGGCAGGGCTTTTTAGTATCAAATCACTACTAGACCATTTAATTTGTTAAATTATCTCTAGGATGGTGATTTATAACCTACCCAAAGTTATCGATATTCTTACTAAACTCTGAGGCCTGAAGTTCTGTGATAGACCTTAAATAAGTGTCCTAAGTCAGTGGTTCCCAAATCTGGCTGGTCGGGAATACCTGGGAAGTTTGTTAAAATTTTTTAAAAATGTTTTAAGATTTTTGGGTCCTGAGCCAGCCGTGGTGGCTCACACCTGTAATCCCAGCACTTTGGGAGGCTGAGGCAGGTGGATCGCCTGAGGTCAGGAGTTCAAGATCAACCTGGCCAACATACTGAAACCCCGTCTCTACTAAAAATAAGAAAAATTAGCTGGGCGTGGTGGCGGGCACCTGTAATCCCAGCTACTTGGGAGACTGAGGCAGGAGAATCGCTTGAACCTGGGAGTTAGAGGTTGCAGTGAGCTGAGATCACACCATTGCGCTTCAGCCTGGGCAACAAGAGTGAAACTCCATCTCCAAAAAAAAAAAACAAAAAGAAAAAGATTTTTGGGTCCCGACCTCAAACCTACTGAATCAGAATTTCTAGGGATGAAGCCTAGGAATGTGTTGTTGTTTTCAGAGCTTCCCTGGTGATTGTGATAAGCCTGGTTTGGAAACCATTGCTGGAGAACTTTGTAAAGATACAGAGACCCAGACCTTTTGTATTTACATTTAAATACAAATACAAATCCTGGGTTTCTATATATTCTGTTAGCTTTTCAGGTGATTCTGCTACACAGACGTTGAAAACCACTGCCCTAAGAAAGAGATCAGAGGCCACATATCAGAGAGAAAAGGGACCAAACCTTCGGTGGTTTGTTGTGTGTCGTTTTAATGCCAATTATTTTAACTTGCACAGTCTTCTGAAACCTTGTATTAATAGTTCTCTTTTGTATTACCATTTTCAGGTAGGGTTTTGATCACTATGATTCTGAAGATAATAGTGAAATAGTGAATTTCATTGATATGAAGAGATAATTGATTTTCATTCATTGGTTTGAACACCTGCAAAATCACAAATAAATGAGAACTAAGTCTTGTATTCATGGTGGTTATTGGCCTTTAATGTGAGTTTGTCAAAGTGCTGTTTTATACTGATAGCTCAAGAGGATTGCGGAAATGGAGACTTTATTTTTTAAATACCTTTTTCTAAATTTTCAATTCAAGGGGTACGTGTGCAAGTTTGTTACATGGATATATTGTGTGATGCTAAAGCTTGGGTTTCTGCTTAGCCTGTCTCCCAAGTAGTGAACATAGCACCCAGTCGGCACTTTTTCAACGCTTACTCCCTCTCTCCCCACTTTTGGGAGTCTCCAGTGTCTGTTGTTCCCATCTTTATGTGTGTGCCCAATGTTTACCTCCCACTTACAAGTGAGAAATGTGGTTAAATACCTTCTTTTAAAATGAAGGTAAATATTATTCTGTTTACCTGTTAACTTACTAATACCAATTGCTTAGATCCATCTGCCTAGTACCAATTCAGTACTTGATGGAACATGCCAAATACTACTTGGAAACGTGACCTTTTTGAAAAACTGAATGTGCTTGCTTTTCCCATTTGCTGACTCAGGATTTACCTGCCTTTTCAAGCATTGTTAGAGGCTGGCCAGCCAGCCAGCCCTTCTGGATATTCTCTCCCAACTGGTGAACATTATAGGCCTGAAACTAATTAAAGAAGGAACTGAAATATACCTAATTCCTCTTCGTGCCCCTATCCATAAGAGAAAAGCAATTATGATTAGGAAAAATAAAATATTTACATGAATGGAAATGCGATGCTACTAAAAATAATTAGGTCTTATCACTCGGATGCTACCTCTTTGGTGCATTCAAAAGAGGTAGCGTCCAAAATTGTTTGGAACGTAGATATCGTAGCCCCTCCCTAGAGGAGGTCCTACATTTGAGACAAGATGCCTCTCCAACCACTCAGGTGGCTTTTGGTCAAAAAAGAAAACAGTTCCCCCAGAGTGTTCTCAGAAACCCTAAGGGAGGGCTGAGAACACAGCTGTGGGGTAGTGTCTGCCCTGACTTTCTTCTTTGAACAGAAGAAATTTGGTCACTTAGCTGAGTGACCAAATAAGTGGAGCAGAGGAGATTGTAGGTCAGGGAAGGCCCTTTAGCAGTAAAGAATGGTCTGCTGCTTTATCACTACTATTGCGCCAGAATTACCCCAAGGTGTTTCCCTAATTCACTTTCTCCAGGTAGGGTCCCTCACTGTTTCCTGTTATCTCCAGATTTAACTTTTTCTGTAGGTGGTCTCTCTTCGGTCCTCAGGATACTATCTCATCTAACGTGAGGCCTGTCTTGCCTGATACTTTTGTAGGCAGTGGCTAAGGCCATGGTTAGAGGATGTAAAAATTTCCATGGAATTCTGTAAAATCTAGTAACCAGATTGCCCAAGGAAACTAAACTCAATGTACTTTTCCCCTTCAACCTTTTTGTTTGTTTGTTTGTTTGTTTGTTTGTTTGAGATGGAGTCTCGCTCTGTCACCAGGCTGGAGTACAGTGGTGCGATCTCAGCTCACTGCAACCTCCGCCTCCCACGTTCAACCGATTCTCCTGCCTCAGCCTGCCGAGTAGCTGGGACTACAGGCGCCTGCCGCCACACCCAGCTAATTTTTGTATTTTCAGTAGAGACATGGTTTCACCATGTGGGACAGGATGGTCTCGATCTTTGACCTCGTGATCCACCTGCCTCAGCCTCCCGAAGTGCTGGGATTACAGGCATGAGCCACTGCACCCAGCCTTCCCCTCCACCCTTCTTGGTTCACTGTGTATAGGAAGATTTCCTCAGCTGTGTAAGTGACTCATCTGTTAAAGCCAAATAACCCCCAAAGCTGCAGGTTAGAATAGGCAGGAAGTCACTAGAAAATGAGGTATTCTGGAAAGAATTCTACATATAATTATATATATGATATATTATATATAGAGAGAGTTGGGTTTTGTTTGTTTGTTTTGAGACAGGGTCTCACTCTATCACTGAAGCTGGACTGCAGTCCAGTGGCACAATCTCAGCTTACTGCAGCCTTGACCTTCTGGATGCAAGCCATCCTCCCACCTCAGCCTCGAGTAGCTGGGACTATACACGCATGCCACCACACCTGGCCAATTTTTGTATTTTTATAAAGACAGGGTTTCACCATGTTGCCCAGGCTGGTCTTGAACTCCTGAGCTCAGGTGATCTGCCTGCCTCTACCTCCCACAGTGCTGGGATTATAGGAGGCATGAGCCACCGCACACCCAGCCTTGCATTATGTCTTTTTTTTTTTTTTTTTTTTTTTTTGAGATAGGGTCTCACTCTGTCACGCAGGCTGGAGTGTAGTGGTGCGATCTCGGCTTGCTACAGCCTCAACCTCCTAGACTCAATCAATCCTCCAACCTTCCCACCTCGGCCTCATGAGTAGCTGGGACTACAGGCTCATGCCCCCACGCCCAGCTGATTTTTGTACTTTTTGTAGAGACAGGGTTTCACCATATTTCTACATATTTTTTTATTCTGCCATAAATACCAGAGACTTCAGGATATAGTCAGAATATATGACCTTTGTTGTTAGAAAAACCCTGCCTGCCTTTAGTTTTCCAGCATGACCTGAATTCTCTGAAGTTTTAGCTGCAGTTTTGGTATAATGGTATTTATTGTTCTATATTAGAGTTCTCCAGGGAAACAGAACCAATAAGAGAGATTGGTAAATATTATAAGTAAAAGATATATAGAAATAAACATATAGGGAGATATAGATATATAAATATATGTGTATTTATTATAAGGAATTGGCTTACACAATTATGGAGGCTGGCAAATCCAAAATCTGCAGAGCTTGGCTGGGTGCAGTGGCTCACGCCTGTAGTCCCAACACTTTGGGAGGCTGAGGCGAGCGGATCCTTTGAGGTTGGGAGTTCAAGATAAGCCTGGCCAACATGATGAAACCCCATCTCTACTAGAAAATACAAAAATTAGCCAGGCATGGTGGTGGGCGCCTGTAGTCCCAGCTACTCGGCAGGCTGAGGCAGGAGAATCACTTGAACGTGGGAGGCGGAGGTTGCAGTGAGCCAAAATCATGCCACTGCACTCCAGCCTGGGTAACAGAGTGAGACACTGTCTCAAAAAAAAAAAAAATCTGCAGAGCTGTTGTCTAGTGGGCTGGAAAAGTCAATGTTCCAGTTTAAAGCCTGTCAGGAAGGAGAATTCTCTTTTACTTGGGGGAAGGTAGTATTTTGTTCTACTGAGGCCTTCAACTGATTGGATGAGGCCCACCTACATTGGGAAGAACAATCCGCTTTACTCAGTCTGCCAATTTAAATGTTAATCTCATCCAAAACACCCTCACAGAAACACCCAAAATAATGTCTTGGCCAAGTATTTGGGCGCCCTGTGGTCCAGTCAAGTTGACACATAAAATTAACCATCACATCATGATGGGTACTGTTTTGATTCCTTTTTTTTATAGTCTAATTTAATTTGCAATCAAGTTAAAGTTCATCTGATTAAGAACTATATGTTAGTGGGAATAAAGAAAGCAGATAGGAAGAGGAAAGAGGTATTTTATGATTTATTTTGTATAGAATTCGTCCCTCAGATCTGTGAGTTGTATATGCCTCTTACACTATCTTTGAAATAAGAAAGTAAGCAATTCTTCCCATTCTGTGTTTCAGGGAACAAATGTCTTGAAATTTGACTGAAAGGCAGCTGGTTGAATTTGTAATACAGCCAAGGCATAACTGCAAGTCTTCTCATTCTCTGTCTCCATTCTGTCATTTAGGTTTCTGGGAAACATTTGGCCTGAAAAACCTATTTTAGAAAATAAGCCCAGACATTTAGAGAAACAGAACTGAGCCCTTTGGGTTTTGAAACTCTTGGTTTGTGTTAGATATCTTTTGAGAACATGTTCATGTGTGAAATAGAGACATGCATGTAATTAAATTTGGGGCCAAATTAGGTGCAGTTAGAATAGCATGCAGTGCAGACATATCCCAAGCTGTTTAATTGACAAGTTCCACTTACTAAGATATGTCACCTTAGTGACTGTCATTTAATTTTGAATATCAGCTTTTTGTTTGCAAGTGCAGAGATTTTTGACAGCCATTCCAGCTTCAACTGTTGTGGCCAATAGCTAATGTTAATCGGAGTGTTTGGTATAAACCAAGTACTCACCTAAGTACTTCACATGGATTATTTTTATTTTCACAATGACCCTATGAGATAAATATGTGAGGAAACTGAGGAACAAAAAATTTAGACTTTGCTCAAAGATGAAACAGCTAGCAAGTGGCAAACTGTGATTTTTTTTTTTTTAACCTTAAGTGGTGTTGCTCCAGAAACTGGGCCCTTTACTCTACTACAGTGCCTCCTTGAAGTTTTTCCATTTAACAAGTTTTCAATATGGTGGAAACAGTAATGTATTAAAGGGTATACAAATTTTCCAATACTTTTATAATGAAAGATGAAAAACCTACTCGTTAAATAAAATGGGCCGGGTACAGTGGCTCACGCCTGTAATCCCAGCACTTTGGGAGGCCAAGGCGGGCGGATTACCTGAGGTCAGGAGTTCGAGACCAGCCCAACCAACATCGAGAAACCCCATCTCTACTGAAAATACAAAATTAGCCGGGCATGGTGGCACAGGCCTGTAATCCCAGCTACTCAGGAGGCTGAGGCAGGAGAATTGCTTGAACCTGGGAGGCGGAGGTTGCAATGAGCCAGATTGCACCATTGCACTCCAGCCTGGGCAACAAGAGTGAAACTCCATCTGGGTGGGGAGGCGGGGGAGGGGGCGGAAGAAAGGAAAATCCAAACCTCCTAGGGCCCAGCAACCCAAACAAAACCTCTATTTACATTTCATAAATTTGCCTTCAATCAACTTTTATGCAAATATTTTTTCACATAATTGTATTCATATTTAAACAAAAATTTTTTTTTTTTTTTTTTAGTAGTGACAGGGGCTTGCTATGTTGCCCATGCTGGTCTCAAACCCCTAGCCTCAAACAATCTTCTCACTTCAGCATCCCAAAATGTTGGGATTACAGACATGAGCCACTGCACCTAGCCTAAACAGAGTATTTTTTATTACACACCTTTTATGTGTCCATGATTACAGTAGGAGTTGTAGGGGATATAAAGGCCTATGCCACTGAAGTCCAAAGAAGAAGGAGGTCAAGAAAGAGTTTTTGAAGTAGCATTTAAGATGGATAAAAATCAAGAGGTGAGATAGAATTTCAGGTTGGGGCAAAAGAAGTTTGGAATTCTTATGCAGGTTTGGGAAGGAGCCAGTAGAATCCAGGGTTTATGTTTAGAGCGGTGGGAAATAAGCTTAGATTATTGGCAGATTGTTTAGGTCATTAATATAAGCAATAGTGATGTACCTACCATGTGCCAGGTACTTCATTAGGTATGTAGGATGCAGGGCTGGGGAAAAGAACGTTCCTGTCTAGGAAGGGCAGTCCAGAAAGCAGGTGGACATGTAAAAAGAATTGTGTCTCAGTGCAGAGAGCGCCAAGTCTTTACTTCTTGTAGTGATGGAGGGCGAGGATGAGGTCAAGGAAATCCTTGTAAAGGAGAGGGTGCTCAAGCTGGGTAAAAGCTTGCCAAATGGAAGATTACAGGAAATTTGGAGAATAGTGGATATTCATTATAGCTGGAGCTGGCAGGAGGACTGTAGCGTTCTCTATGTTTAGGCTGCTATAACAAAATGCCTTAGATTTGGGTAATCTATAAACAACGGAAATGTATTGCTCACAATTCTGGAGGCTGGATGTCCAAGATCAAGGTGCCAGCAAATTTGGTGTCTGGTGAGGGCCCTCCTCTTCATAAGTGGCACCTTCTTGCTGCTTCCTCACATGGCAGAAGGGGCAAAACAAGTTCCCCGTGCCGTCTTTCATAAAGGCAGTAATCCCAGTCAGGAGACTGCCACCTTCATGACCTAGTCACCTCCCAAAGGCCCCATCTCCTACTACCAACACATTGGGAAATAGATTTTTTTTTTTTTTTTTTTGAGATGGAGTTTCACTCTTATTGCCCAGGCTGGAGTGTAGTGGTGCAATCTTGGCTCACTGCAACCTCCGTCTCCCAGGTTCAAGCGATTCTCCTGCCTCAGCCTCCTGAGTAGCTGGGATTACAGGCACGCACCACCATGCCTGGCTAATTTTTGTATTTTTAGGAGAGACAGAGTTTCACTATGTTGGCTAGGCTAGTCTCAAACGCTTGACCTCAAGTGATTCACCCACCTCGGCCTCCCAAAGTGTGGGGATTACATGCATGAGCCACCATGCTTGGCTGGGAAATAGATTTTAACATATGAATTTTTAGGCTGGGCATAATGACTCACACTTCTAATCCCAGCACCCTGGGTGGCCGAGGTGGGAGGATTGCCTGAAGCTAGGAGTTTGAGACCAGCCTGGGCAACAAAGTGAGACCCTATCTCTACAAAAAAATACAAAAACAGGGCCAGGTATGGTGGCTCACGCCTGTAATCCCAGCACTTTGGGAGGCCAAGACAGAGGATGGCTTGAGCCTAGGAGTTTGAGGCTGCAGTGCGCTATGATTGCACCACTACACTCCAGCCTGGGCAACAGAGCAAGACCCTGCCTCAGAAAAAACAGAAATGAATTTTGGAAGGACACAAAACATACAGATCATAGCAAAGGTAGAGGTGAGAAAATGAGATTGGAGTTTGGGTCAAATTAATGAGAGTCTGTATGCCATGCTGAAGTGTTTAGGCTCCATTTTTTTTTTTTTTTTTTAAGAGTCAGGGACTTGCTCTGTTACCCAGGCTAGGGTGCAGTAATGTGGTCATAGCTCAGTGCAGCCTCGAACTCCTGGCTTCAGGTGATCCTCTAACCTTGGCCTCCCAAAGTACTGAGATTACAAGTGTGAGCCACCACATCTGGCCTGGATTTCACCCTGTTGTAGAGAACTATTGAAAGGGCATTTTTAATCTTTTTTTTTCTTATTGAAAAACATAAACATTACTTCTTTTATAAGTGGCTTAAAACAACACAAATTAATTATCTTACAGCTCTAGAGGTCAGAAGTCCAAAATGGGTCTCTCTCGGGTAAAACTGGTGTTGGCAGAGCTGCATTCCTCTCTAGCAGCTATTTTAGGGAAGAATCATTTTTCTTGCTTTTTCTGGCTTCTAGAGGCTGCCCACATTCCTTGGCTCATGGTTCCCTTTCTTCATCTTCAAAAGCCAGCTATAGCTGATGAAACCTTTCCCATATCTCATCACTCTGACCTTTTCTGCCTCCCACTTCCACTTGTTTGTTTGTTTGTTTGTTTTATTTTGTTTTTGAGACAGGGTCTTAGTCTGTTGCTCAGGATGGAATGCAGTGGCACGACCACAGCTCGCTGCAGCCTGGACTTCCCAAGCTCAAGCAATCCTCCCACCTCAGTGTCCTTAGTAGCTAGGATCACAGGCCCACACCAACACACATGGCTAATTTTTTTTTCCTAATTTTTTATAGAGATAGGCACTTAGGGGGACCAAGGCAGAGGATGCTATGTTGCCCAGGTGGGTCTCAAACTCCTGGGCTCAAACTATCCTCCTGTCTCAGCCTCCCAAAATGCTGGGATTACAGGCATGAGCCACCACGTCTGTCTGTTCCTCTTCCACTGTCATTTTTTTTGTTTTTATTGGTTTTTTTTTTTTTTGCGGGAGGGGCGATGCAGGAAACAGCCTTGCTCTGTCG